>NC_000007.14:84324960-84627991 GCF_000001405.40 Homo sapiens | reverse complement strand
CTGACTCTTAGAATTAATGGGAGGTATAAATGAAACTGCATGTAAAATGCATAGCACAATGACTGATATTCAATATATAATAGCTTATACTTTAGAAGGAGTGAGACTTATCCCTAAGCTAACTTCCAACAAATTTATGGTTAGTTTAACGTATCAAATTAATGGTTGGATAAAATTTGACTGTACTCTAGAGTTTTATTTGTGTGCATTTTGAGACATTTAATATTATTCAAGGGAAGTATCTGAGACATTTTAGTGAGACCCTCTCAGCAGATCCATAGAACTGCAAATTACTTTTGTGCACAAATAGGAACATGGCTGTGATGAGATGGGAAAAGTTTTCCCAATCGTAGTGAGGTAAGCCACAGAGGTTAATAACTTTGTCTGCTAGGAAGCTATAGTTCTAGGATAGAGGAAAACTCTAGTAAGTGTAATGAAAGAGATTGCCCAGAAAAATTAAGGCACTGATATAAATGGATGGGCTGTTGTGAATTCAAAATCCAGAAATAAGCTAATACATTCTTACTGACTCTGATAGAATAAACAAATGACACAACCTCTAATGTGCATAATATGCACACAGAGAAACTTGTGGAAAAAAAGTGTAGTGAATATTATCCATTTTGCTGCTTTTCTGAATGTTGAATTTTGTTTTTACATATTTTAAAACATTTCTATTAACTATGCAAAAGAATGAACTAACTGATTGTGGGATGACACTCAGAGTTCACGTTTAAGTTGGAATGGTCTCTTATTTACATACATTTGTCATTTGTTTCAAATATTCCCTGGAATTTGTGATTAAGAAGCAATCAGTCTTCTCCATACTTTAATGCCACTTCGGGTTATTAATTATTTAATCTACTTTTGTTTTTATTTAAAGTAAAAATCATATAAAAGATGTATTTCTGAATAAAAATAGAAAAATTTGATTCAATTTTGACATGCAAAAATTTGGTAGCCACTTAAGTTTTCAAAGAAAAACCAGAAGGAGGTCTTTTTCTCTGATGTAAGGGCGATAGTATAATTTGGAGACATTTTTACTTTTTACATTGTCAATCACATTGTAAATGTTGGGACAGATAATTCTGGCGCTACCTTATGTGGAATGGTTGAATTCTATCTATTCAATGATTAAAAGATTTAGGATTCTCCATGTTTCAGCTAATGGGCATACTAACATTTCCTTAAATTATAGGCTTCTAGAGAGATGAGAATGTATTGTGAGACTGATTATTTTTTTAACTCGATACAACATGATAGTTTAATCAATAAAAATCTGTTGCTGGTATAAAATCAGTATTGCAGTTATGTCTTACTCTAATGAAAGGTACACAGGGAAAAAACTTTCTAAGTAATTCATCCATTTGCTTGCTTTGAAACAACTTTTACGTGTATTATTTGTTTCCTGATAAAATATTATTTTAAATTATAGTAATAAAATTGTACCTAAATGTAAAATGAAAATAAAACATTTTTGTTTTCTAATCCTAAAACAATAGTAATTAATAATAGAATACTAATTACAAAAATAGAATATGCCTTTTAATGTCAGAGTTATGTACATGAAAATATATTAGTGAGATGTAAAAAGTAGTCAGAAAATAAAAGGAAAACTGCTTTAACAAAAATGAGTGTCATTGATCAAGGAAATTGGGAAAAGTAAAGACATGCTGAAATGAATCTGTCTGATACCCAAGAATAATTAGGCTCTAGTTTATGACTTTCATTAGATTTAACATAGGATGTTTGGTTCATTTTTTTCTGTTTCTTGGGACTCTGACATCACTTATATAATTCATTGTCCAATTCATTTGTCTGATTCTTTCTGCAAACTATAAAGACCAATGTCTCTTGCATTAAATGCACAATTTAGTGCCCTACCTCACCCAAAAAATTATCCTGTAGTTTTTAAAAATTATTTTAGAATTTCTATGATGTTGTTTTTCCTTAGGTTTAAATAAAATATTGGAAGTATGTGAGTATTCCTTTATATGAACCTGAACCTTTAAGAGATTTACATTTAAAAAAATTTTAAGAATACTGAGATATTGCTTAGTTTCAAGATAGTAGTCACTTATTCACTCATCAAATAGCCATAAATGTGTAATAGGCATTGTGCTAGGTACCAAGAATACTATTTTGAGAGCCAAAGACTCAATTATGTGGCAGACCTTATTAGGAGTGGCTTTCAGAAAAAAAATAAATAAATAAATACGTGTGTTAAAGGAAACCAACGTAAGATTTTTATCTCTGAAAAATTTCTATATCATTACTATGAATAATAATTTTACAGAGCTTTGATTTGATTTGGATCAAATAGTTTATAGAAATGCTAAAATACTATGATTATGAATAAAAATAATTCACAAAGAATCTAAATAACATTATACTAATTTCACAATAAGTGATACTAAAATTGTATAAATATTTGCAGTTATAAACGATGTACACAAACATTTGTTTTTATTCCACAATAGCTGCAATTATTATAGCTTCCTTTCTAATTCCTAATAATTAGAAAAATAGCATTACAACTGAAAATACATGAGACATTGGGTTTTAGACTCTTTTAAGAAGGTGATGCTTCTTATAGATCACTATATTGTTTTCCTCCTTCTTACATTGATTCTTTTTTTTCTGAGAAATCTTGGATGCTTTCATCACAGCTCTTAGTCTTGCAAGCCTTTTCAGACATATAAAATAAGAGAACACACTCGGGGAAAAAAGGAATTTCTCAAAACTCCCTAATGTTTCACATATTGGGTTACAGTGTATGTATATGTGCTCTTTAACTTCCTTTTCTGGAAAACAAGGTATGAAGTGAGCAGGATGATTCTACTCTAAATTTATGTTACAAGAATCTAATCATCATGGTAAATTCTTAATGACTAATAGCTCTCTAACCTGTCTTATGTCAATATAGCCACCGGATCAGGTTAAGTTCATTGAAAATTTCATGGTTTTAGCATTTAATATTAAAGTTGGCAGTGAATTATGAATATTTCTAATGCCATTTTTTGGTTGAAGAAAACACACATCATAAGAAGTCTCCTTTCTTATATTGTGAATTCATTCCACATCACCAGAACATACTCATTTTTAATGTTTCTCAAAGTTTTTCTATTGAGAGAAGAAATATTGAGGTTTAAAATTAATGTAAAGATCTTTTCTAGTGAACCAGTGTGCTCAAAGGAAATCATGAGAGATTAGCTAGATGATTTTGACTCATGACAAAGGGTGATCTTGACGGGAATATGATGATCTACTCTCCCAAAACTTCTTTAATAAGAAAAATGTGTGCTTGATCTCTAGGGAGAAAATGGAGCATTAGAACAGGAGATATAAATTCAAGCAACTCTGCTAACTCTTATCCTCCTTGGGACCAACTAAGACATCTTAACCACCATAATTTTTGAAGCACCCTAGCATCAGATACACATATATTGAAACTGGCAAAAACTCTAAATATAAAATTGCATTCTATAGTGATTCTAACAATATATTTTATTGTAAATTTTTGTTCCTTGATCTCTGTAGAATTCATCTCCTTGCATTTTTGTTTGTTATTCAAACTTAGAGGGTCTGATTTATGCAGATAAAGGATTTTAGGGGACGGAATATCTGTTGAGGGAGAGCAGCATCACTCAATAAGCTAAGAATCAGAAGTAGTGACTGCCAGTCCCATGGTAATTTGATTTATACTAAAGTTCAGTGCAGGAAAGAGCATATACATTTCTTATTAATGTTTAGAAAACATGTTAGCTTATTATAGAGTTTTCCACAAAGCTGATTGATTGTTCCATAAAATGTAAAATTCCCTATCATTTTATAATTTTTATTATGCTAGAAATTTTCAATAATGATTTGACCATTCAATTAATGAAAAGTTTTACATCTTTACAAGTCCACATTTCCTTTCTGTTTAAAAAAATCCTAAAGACATGTCATTTGTGTATTATATCTTTTGTAATTAACAACGTGGCTGTTTCTTTAAATGTCATTGTTCAGATAGATTCCTTTGCTAGTCTTCTATTTTTGTTTGAATACTGAATCACATTACAGCATATCTGTATAAATAAATAGTAGTACAGTAGGTTGAATGTAATTCAGTTTGTAGATTGACTGCAAAGATGCTGTTGCCTTAAATCAGAAGAATTTTAAAAGCGGCAATTATTTTCCGACTTCTTTTGGATTCATTAAAGCTTTTGTGAATCCAATCAAATGTTTCTTACCCAAAAGGACAATCAGTACTTAACATAAGATAACAAAAGGTGACTGGGTGAAGTAATTGCTTTGGGAAAACTCTGAAGTAGTTTTGCATCCTTTCAGTTGGGTCTAGTCAAGCTATAACCCACTTTTTCCTAACAAGCAATACTCATTGTTCAAAATAATCAAATTCACATTTTTTATGCAGGAGTCAGATGATTGTTTACTATTTATTTTTCTTCAAAATATTTGTTAGATTACAACTTTGAAAAAAATAGTTTTGGTTACTATTCATTAAAATAAAGTATAAACTTTGGTTATCTACTTGTTTATCAAATCAATGCATAAAGAATTTCTTAAAATAATCAAAATTACTTAAGAAAAAAATTGCTAGCAATTATTATAGAAAGAACACTGCATTCTTGTTTTCTCATTAGACTTTTGGAAAATTTATTATAAATCTCAAGAGACTACATGTAATAAATGCAGTAATTATTCTAATTACTGTTTGTCTCTACCAGAGCAATAAAACAGCAGTCAGAAGTAAAATAATTGGGATTGTTAATTATGGAACTAGTCTCACAAGTAAAATTTCATAGTATACAAAATATATAATATTAAGTGATTAAAAGACAGAAAGTCTTAAAGGACTTCATTAGTATTGTATACCAAACATCCATAAGCAACTCCCTCCCCAGAAGATACATATATAACATATATAGTATATAACTATGTATGTCTGTATATGCATATGTAACCCTCTATGTAATGTACTGGCCAATCAGTAGTATAGAAAGCTTAGTTTGAGAAAAAATACATTTATCTTAGTCTATAAAATTAAAAATATCTAAAGAATAATGTTCATTACTATTTTCATGTAACATTGATGCTGTTGACTCTTGATAATGAGGACATGTTCTGAACTTGTTTTTTAATACGAGTGATGAATCCCTTCGCAAAAGAAACATATTTTCTGGCTGGAGTAGGGCATCCTTGGACCAGAAATAACTAACATGTTTTCAACAACTGAATTTACTAAATAACAGAAACAAGACATGTACTAGATTTTTTACTTAAAAGTTAAAGCTATGCTAGCACTGATGAATGGAGATGGGGGACTACTTATTGCAATTAAGATTTACATTTAGGTGTCTTAGCCAACAATAATTTTATTAGTCCCTAGTGTTGAGAGTTCCTGCCTTTTTCTGTACCAAGCTGTGATGTTTCCAGTAATGCCAGTTGTCATTAAATTTTCAAAACCAAAAATATTTAACTATGAGAATGTAAACTTTCATATATCTATATGAGAATTAGGTAGAGAAATTAAGAATAAAACAATCAAATACGTGACAACAAGTAGTCATAGTAGAAAATCACTTATCTACAAGGTATATACCATAGTATCAGTTATAGTCTCACCACCCAAGACATTAAAATCTATTTGGGGAAGAAAGCGAAACACACATAAAAACACAAGACAAATATGTTAGAATTCTAGAGATGTTACAAGTAAAAATGGAAAGGAACTAACAAATTAAAGAAATATTTTTAAATAAGCTATTCATTTAGTCATTTCTTCATCCATCACTGGCTCTAACAATTGATCATTAATCCATTCATTATTTCATTAAATATTTACTGAGTTCTGAATTTGTGCCAGAAAAGTGTGGATATCTAGGATACCTAGGTTGACAAAACACAATCCCTTACCACGAGAAGCACACAGACAAAAAAGCGAGATAGACAAGTAAACTCATAAAGTTACAGTAGAGAGTGAACAATACAACTATAGAAGCATATACAAAGTAGATACACAGTGTAGAAAAAGGAGATATTCAATCTACTGGATGAGTCAGGAAAGGGTTTGTATGGCTATATATTGGCAGAACAAATATGTACATGACGGAAGTTGTAGGTTGAATATCAATAATTTACTAGGACTCATTGATATTGGAAAGAATTCTTAAAATTAAATCTATCTAAACTCAAAGAGAATTTTCATAGTGAAAGAAATTTTTTTTGTTTTAAAAATATGTATAAATATTAATGAAAGTGACTGTGGTAAGTCAAAAAAAAAAAAAAAGGGTGGTAGATGAAGTACCTTGATCATTTGTGTATTAGTTATCTGTAACTTTGTGGCACACTATCCCAATCTATAGTGACTTAAAAGAATAATAAATATATTATTCCTCGTAATTCTGTGGATTGGTTGTTCAGGGATTTCTTCTGCTTGTGTCATCTAGGATTGCTCATGGAGCTGCAGTTATCTGAAGGCTTGACTGGGTTGGAGGCTCTAACATGGCCTCACATGTTAGCAGTTGGTGTTGGCTGTGAGCTGAGTTATCCTAGGTCGCACCCACATGACCCCTTATCCTCCAGTCTGTATTTTTTTCACAGTGTTCCAAAGGAACAAGAGTGGAATCTGTAACACCTTAAGTCTTAGCATCTGAAATTTGAACAATGTTAATTCTGTCATATTCTATGTGACAAATCACAAAGACAGATTCAATTCAGGGGAAGGGGGGCGCAGATAAGCCATGTGATTTCACAAGGTTGCTGGCCTACATCATATAGAGACATTCTCCAATAACTCAGAATTTAAAAGTTAAGAAGGAAGACTCAGTAGGTCTAGTAGAATTAAGGACAGATTTAGAGATGCTAACACTAGCAGACAAAGGAACCAAAATATACCCAAAAGGTGGTTGCCAGAATGAATGAAATGAAAGATGACAAAAAAAGTCAAAGATGTAGTTTGATCAAAGATGAGGATTAACATACATGAAAGAGTTGGAGAGAGTTCAGAAGCAAGGGGCTGGGGCTTGAAATTGAGTTACATGAAATGGGAAATCCCTATTCTTTGTCTCACCAACTCTCTGATGGCAGTAGTTTTGGACTAATAATGAGTGTGCTATGAAATTCTCCAGAGGTATTTAAACTGGTGTTGGAAGTTTCTTTCCCCTTGTTGTCACCATACTGCATTATAATTAAAAACATAAGGTAATCTCTTCTTTATCAGCAAATAGTTCAAGTAGCATATCTAGTCTACAATTTATGTTAGAAACATATGGACATTCAAAGAAAAACATTTGAGTAATCTTTTCAGAAGCTATTTAGAACAACAAAATATTAGTAAACCAAGTCCACAACATGTAAAAATTTATATACTATGACATCATGGGACGTATCCTAATAATATAAAGTGCTTTAACACACACATACACACACACACGTATGTGTATATATGTAGATGTTTTGTGTGTATATATATGGATGTTTATATCAAAATAATCATCTCAATATGTAGAAAAAGAATTGATGAAAACCAACACCCATGTATAATAAAAACTCTCAGTATATTTAACCTAGTAAAGGCCACATAATAAACACCCTATAGCTAACATTATAATTAGTAATAAAAGTAAGCTTTCCTTCTAAGATCTGAACAGTTTCAAGGATGTCTACTGTCATCACATCATTTAACATTGTTCCAGATATTCTGGGGAATAAAACCAAAGAAGAAATAAAAGGTATCTAGACTAGAAAAAAATAAGTAAAACTGCCTTTACGCATCATGATATGATCCTGTATACAAAAAGAAAATCCCTAAGGAATCCTCTTCAAATGTATTAGAAAAAATAAACAGCTTAAGCAAGATTATGTGATACAAGATTGATATATCTAAAATGAATTGCATTTTAATATATAAGCAATGAACAACCCAAAAATAAAATCAAGAAGAAAATTTTATTCACATTGTTATGAAAAAGAATGAAATACTTAGGCTTGGTACTGTGCCTCAGACTTATAGCCCCAGAGGTTTGGGAGGCCGAGGTGGAAGGATGACTTGAGGCCAGGAGTTCAAAACCAGCCTGAGCAACATAGAAAGATCCCATCGCCACAACAAGAGTAAAAAAAAAAAAAAAAAAAAAAAAAAAAAAAATAGGAAGAGGAAGAAGAAGAAAGAGGAGGAGGAGAAGGAAAAGGAGAAGAAAAGAAAAACAATGAAAAATTTAAAAAATTGATAAAAAAAATAGCTGGGTGTGGTGGCATGTCCCTGTATTCTTAGCTACTCAGGAGGTTGTGAGGTTGTGGTGGGAAGATTGTTTGGGCCCAGAACTTCAAGGTTATAGTGAGATATGATTGCTCCACTGCACTCCAGCCTGGGCAACAGAGTGAGACTCTGTCTCTAAAGAAAATATAAATAAAATAAAATAAAATATCATATTCAGAAATAAATTTAACAAAAGAAGTCCAAGAATAGTACACTGAAATTTATAAAACATTGTTGAAAGACATTAAAAGTGAGCCAAATAAGTGGAAATATATTCTCTGTTCATGAATTGGAAAACTTAATATTGCTAAGATGATAATTCTTCCCAGAGTAATTAATAGATTTGATATAAATCTTAACAAAGTTCCAGCAGTTTTTTTTTTTTTTGGCAGAAACTGATGTTGATTCTAAATTGTAGAAAATCTAAAAGACCTAAAATCGCCAAAACAAGTTTGAAAAAGAACAAAGTCAAAGTACTTTCATTTTCCAATTTCAAAACTTATTAAAAGTTATATTTATCAGATCTGTGTGGTATTGGCATAAGAATAAACAGGTAGATTAATAGACTAAAACTAAGAGTTCAGAAATAAATTCTAACATTTATGGTCAATTGTTTTTCAAAAAAGGTACCAAAGCAATTCACAAAAAAAGATTAACTTAGAACCTTGCCTCATACCACACACAAAAAGTAGACTGTAAATATTTCATAAAGCTACATCTTAGAATGAAAAAGATAAACTTTTTTAGATGACAACAGGAAAAAATCTTGGAGACTTTGAATTAGGCAAATATTTGAATAGGCAGCGCACCAAAGAGAATACACACACACTGATACAGACACACACATACAGATATTTAATGCACGTGTGTATACGTATATGTACGTATGTGTGGGTATATTTATGTGTAAGAATGTAAGATGTTCAACATCATTAGTCATTAGGGAAGTGCAAATTAAAATCACAATAAGAAAACACTTACATCCACTATGTTAGCTATAATAAAGACAGATAATAGCAAATGTTGAGGATCAGAGAAACAGGAAACCTCCTATAATGCTGATATGCAAGTAAAATTGTACAGCCACTTTGCAAAGCAGTTGGCAGTTTATTAAAAGTTAAATGTAAATATACTATAAAACCTATTATATTCTGTTATTATGTATCTAAAACGTATTTTTAGTGGAATCTAGAAGAACAGGTAAAATTAAAATATGTGAAAAATGTGAGGAAAGTATATCCAGTGGGGAGAAGTATGTGAAAAGATAGATAAATTTAGAGGAAACATTATTATGGCTATACCCTGTGAATGAAAAACTGAAGGAAAGAGACATAAAGGTGGATAGTAAGGTGGATGTCCACACAAAAGATCTGTGCATAAGTTATTCGTGGAAGTATTATTCAAATAGCCAAAATTAGAAACAAACTAAATGCTTATCAACTGATGAAGAAATAGACAAAGTGTTATATATCCATACAACAGAATACTAGTCAGCATTAAAAATGAACAAGCTACTGATAAATGTTACAATATCAATGAAACTCAAAAATATTATGGTAAGTAAAATAAGTCTGTCACAAGAGACCACATAATGTATAATTTCATTCATAATTCAATAAATTTACTGAAAATTTATTGAGTTGTATAATTTAAATTATAATATGTAAAATATATCTCAAAGTTGAAAAGAAATCAACAGAAGTCATTTCATTAAACACTCAACTCTAGGTTGGACCACACAGCAAATTAAGGCTGACAAATAGTGGAAAGTTTACTAGACTGCCTGTCACAAAGTAAGATTCCAGGTTCTAGCTTCTTGTTGCCAATAAAAATGTTGTGTTTGCAAGTTCCTTAACATTTCTAAACCTCAGAAGCTTCATCAGTTACAAGAGGAAGTTGGAATACGTGATTCCTAAAATCTCTAATTAGCCGTAAAATTCCATCAGTCTACTCATTTCTTAAAAATTATAGGAGACATTCATAAAATCATAGAATGGAGTGTTAGAATCTGAAGTAATATTACCACACCTTTGCCAATTTTATCAGTTTTGTAATTTTAGAAATACTTAAAAGAGTAATTTTTACTTAATTGGGCCAATTACATTTCATCGAGTATCCCCTCTATATAAACTCAGATGCTATGGAGACAGGAAAAAATGCATAATTCCACTTCAAAAAATCTTAAATTCTTAAAATATGTAGAAGTCACAAATGGATTCTATAACTCACAGATAAATGTAAAAAGCACTGACTCATAAGAGATGCAAATAAAACTCTAGAGGATTTCAACGTCAGGAGAGATTGCTTATGACAGGAAGACAATAAAAGCCTACATTTTATGGAAAAATATATTTTTAGTGGAAGCTAGAAGAACAGGTGAGATTAAAATATGTGAAAATGTAAGGAAAGTATATCCAGGGGGGAAAGATAGGAAGGTTTAGAGAAAATATTATTATGGTTGTACCCTATGAATGAAAAAGTGAAGTAAAGAGACAAAAAGGTGGAGAGTGAGTTTGAGCCAGATTGTGGAGGATGTTGAATGTCAGGCAGCCTCTCACTGATTGTTGATGAGGAATTGCCACCAACTTTTGAGCAGCAGCACAAGTGTATCAGAGGTTTGCTCTAAGAAAATTAATCTGGCCAGCCGGGTGGCTCACACCTGTAATCCCCGCTCTTTGGGAGGTTGAGGAGGTGGATCACCTGAGGTCTGGGGTTCGAGACCAGCCTGGCCAACATGGTGAATCCCCGTCTCTACTAAAGTTAGCTGGGCGTGGTGGCAGGTGCCTATAATTCCAGGTACTCAGGAGGCTGAGGGAGAAGAATCGCTTGAACCCGGGAGGTGGAGGTTGCAGTGAGCTGAAATCATGCCATTACACTCCAGCCTGGGCAAAAGAGCGACAGAGAGAGAGACTCTGTCTCAAAAAAAAAAAAAAAAAAAAAAAAAAATTAAAGTAAATTAAATTTAAAAAGGGGAAATTGGAAGTTGTGAGACTGGTTGGAATGCAAGATAATAAAGAAGTGATTATGATTAATTATAGTGAGAACAAAGAGTTTGAAATGCATGTAATTAATACAGAGGTAGAAATAATAGGCCAATATATGACCAAAATAGAATGGGTAATAATGGACAATGTTTTAAATTCTTAACATGCCGTCTCATTAAATTCTCGAAATCGTCCAATTAGACAAAAAATTATTGCCCCCATTTTATAGATTAGAAAACAGCACAAAAGATAATCCAAGTTTCTAAATATCCGTGGATGAGTTGGATTCAACTCTAGCAGGTGCAACACATTCCATTCGGATACAGGCCTCTTCACAGGTTCTGACTTAAGTCGTGGTAGCTGAAAATATTGTGGTTTCAATGGGTACACATTATGAGAGAAGACAATTTGGGAAGCAATAAAAAGTTCGGTTATGATAATATGTTTTGTTTTCCTTTACTATGTGTATGTATATGTCTGTGTGTGTGTGTGTGTGTGTCTGTTTTGAAAGTCTATAGTTCATAAATAATATTGGAAAAACCAAAACAATAGAGAATCTATGAATTTTTAAGTGAAAATCCCTATTGAAATTCTTGCATTATAATCTCACTAAGTCACTTAGTTCATGATTATGATCTTCTTTACAACAGAACTTTATAATAAGCAATTATATCCTCCTATAAAGGAGCAATATATCTTCTGTTACTTTCAAATTTCCTATACTGTTAACATTAAAATAATACAAAATAATAATGTAGAAGGTTTTTAAATTTATTTTTTAATAAAGGTAAAATAGGTAAAGAATTATATTTATAAACTGTGTATACTTGTAAATATAATACCTAACTAAAAAATGTAGATATTATTAAAAATCTTAACGTTGGTCCTTGCATTGAGGTTATGATTATATTAAATATTTTTCCTTTCTGTTTGGAGCTTTCTTGGATTTTCTAAGGGTTTGACATGCATTACTTCAGTCTTTTTTTTTTTTTTTGGTAAACAGAATTAAAATAAGAACTTTAATTATTATATCAAGTTCAGGTTCTGATTAAGTTCTGAACTGCTTCCTGAGTTACTTTTTTTTTCAACGAGCATTGAAACTTGTGATCTCCAAGAGTTATGCCTCTTTCCTTCCTTCCTCCTTGTGATTTCCCATGTTATAGAACTGATGTTTGCCTTAATCACATTTTGTTAACTATTGTGTACTTTACTGTGACAAGGAGTGATTGTTGTCTATCTAATATTTAGTTTATCCTTCTTCCTTGAAAACAGGACTTCAGTTTGATTGGGAGTGGCACACCACACAGTGAAAAATAAACAAAACAAAACAATAACAACAACAATAACAACAAAAACTCTGCATCTTGATCTTCCTTAAAGATTAAGTGCATGTGTGACACAGTTCAGTTGTCATGTGCACAAAGATTACTCAGTGTCATGTGCACATACCATGTGCTATGTGGGAGTAGGTGGTAGAAACTTACCAAGTAAGAGTCTTAAAGATGCCCTGAAGTATGCCTTTGTATTTCCTCCTTATTTCTACATGAAACAGACATGTTGACTGGAGATGCAGTATACATCTTAAAAATTAGTATTAGAAATGAATGCCTCTACTTTTATTATGCATTCTGATTAATTTAATATTACTTATAGAGGTCTTATTTCTATTAGGCCATAATAATCTGCCTCCTGTTGATACATCAGAATAAATTAAGCACAAAATATGCCCCCATGTGGCAGAATGGATTGAACACTTAGATGAAGTTCCTATTCTTTCCATTAAACAGTGACAGAGTGACAACAAATATTTCTTTTGGCCATAATTGATAATTGATGTTGAGTGAGAATTTATTTTCAATGAGAATTAAGCATCTGTTTTGTTCCTTTACAGGACATTTTTTCTCAGAATGATAACTCCATGTAATTATCAGAGAGAATAAAAATAATAGTGTAATAATAATAAACAATATAATAATAATTAAGACTTATTGAACTTGGTATGCATGAACTTTATACAGGAACATGAAGTACATGATATTTAATTCTCACAATTATTACCAAGTAGTCATCTCTATTTCCACATTTCATGAAGAAACAGAGACAAAAATAGGCTATTTAACTTGCTGAAGATCACATAGCTAGGTAATGGCAAAGTCATAACTTAAGCATTCTTCTGTTTGACTTCAAAGAGTCATGAAAGCAACGAATCCCTACACTGTTTTTGTTTTTGTTTTACCATGTTTTTATTTCCTTTGGCCAGGAGATATCTCCTACTTTATCTAAAGTGATGCCTACTTATGTGCATATAATGTACAAAGAGTTTAGCAACAAAATTCTAACTTTGACTTATTCCCATAACACTTTGAAGGGATCAGTCATTACTGCTTTAGGTCTAGCTGAGCATTAGTACAGAGAGAATATGTTTTTGTCTTCCTTTCAGTAAGATTTGCACAATGATAGTATTTATGACCTAAATAAGCACAGAATTCTATTTATCGTTAGAATTCTACATATGTAAAATAAAATCGCCAGCAATATATCACTGAAACTATTTTTGAACTGCGATCTTTTATTGATTTCTGAAATTTACCGGTAGCTAGTTGTTCATTCTGTCATTATCTTTTCATAGACTTTCTTATCAATAGTTAAAGAAAATAAAGGCTGGATTAGCAATAAACACTGTAAATCCTCTCAGCAGACATACATTCCATAAAAATTAGATAATAAAGCAGGAATAAAGAAAAGTATATACAGTTTATTTGGGGATAACTATATGATTATCTTTCTAATCGGTGTCTGATTTGCATTAGTTCCACCTTGATTGGTTATTAGACACTAGGCGTATTATGACTTACTTGCCTGAACTTCAGAGAAAACAGAAAATTCTGATGTAATCAATAATAATGAAATTAAGTTTCTTAAACATACAATGCAACTACAGAAAACATATGCCATTACAGCTGCAACAATAAAAAATCAAATAAAATTATGAAACTTGCTGAATTGTATTTGTACAGTTTTAGCACTTTTTTTGCTACCTAAATTTAATACTAAGAAGTTGCTTTTCATAAGTGCTGTTTTGGAAGAATTTCATGGTCAGCAGTCTAGTGTTCCACATCTGTTAGAAAAGCCTACCCAGGGAGTTGCTTTAGCACTAGACACATGATTAGGCACTGATAGATGCATGGCATTTAGTAATACCATTAAAATATTCTACACTGTACAATGGCAACAGATGTCTTACGTTCTAACAACTAATCAAAAAGTAAATCAACCAACATAAAAAACACATCTGGAATCCTAGAGATGGAAGAATTTAGTCATATATCATTTCGTGTTATATCAAATTTGTGTTAATTTGTAAAATGCTGTGCTGGATGTTTTTATGTAAATGAAGTAAAATATACATTTTACTCTTTGATCTCCAAAGTCATTTACTACAGAAACTCCTTTGTCAGGTTCTGAAGTGCTTCTTCCAGGGCCTGAGATAACTCAAGCTTTCTGAAATAATTCTCCTTATTAAAGCAATATGTTCAAAGTGAGCAATGCAAGTCCGCAGGGAACACTGCTGAGCAAGTAATGGTCTGATGGTGAGTTGATGGACTGTAATAATGGTCCCAGCCAATCCGGAAGGAGAACTGACAGCAGTTCAATTTGTAATGTATTTCATATGTAGAACGTATTCAGAAAAGAGTCCTAAATATTATTATTTTACATCAGTCAATTAAACTATGCAAATCATGGTATTACAGCTTTGAATTAAACTTCAGCCATCAGCCTCGAATCATTGGGAATGTTCCTATCTACATATGAATTATAATCATAAGGAAAGATAGATTTACATAGAATACATTTTCAGTTTGTCTTTACTTACAATATTAATTTAATTTGACTTTCCAGAAATGTATTTCTTGGGAAGAGGGAGTCTTTAGTATGTTTTTAAATACTAAAAAAGTGTTAAGTATTTATAAGTATTTAAAGTCTTTCCAAATGTCCTGCAATTTCTTTATAACACCATTGGGAATGAGTAAAATACTATATTTTAATAAAATCATAACTAAATTATTCTAAGTGTATGATTATAATAACACAATACAGATTTAGAAAAGCTTGCAGTCGTAATGAACTCTAGTATTTAAACTGACTTATTTTTTCATCTACTTGTCAATTCTACCTGAAAATATTGTTCAGGCATATCTGTTTATCCATTGTGAATAAAAGAGTAAATAAAGATGAGTGTTATTGCTCTATGTGATTTTCTTTTGTAAATACAATGAATATTTATTCAAGCATCTTAAATTGCTTATCTGGTGATATAATTCACTAACAGAACAAAAATGAGGAGAAAATTATAGTTATTATCAAACAATTTGCAAGTTATTTTTAATCCTGGGCATTCTTACGTGCACTTTAAACTTTGAACTCAAATTTAACCCTGAATTGTTGCTGTGATTTTTATCTTTTAAATTTAAATGCAGCATAAAAGAACTTTCAGGATATCCCTAATAAAACATACCAGAAAGCTCTTATGTTCTTTGTGATGTTCAGAATTTCTCTTCATAGTGTTATTTAACTTTACTTAGACAGGAAAGGTAGATAATTAGCCCTTCCCCGTTAGCATGCCATTTTCAGTTTTTCTATTTTATTCCACTTCTCTCCTCTGGAACATCTAGCCACAAGAGTACTAGAAGTACCACAAAATGCTCTGTAGCATCAAGTTTTAAATGTGCTGAAACATAAGTATTAACAAACTGACATTGTTTGAAATACAAAAATTAACTTATAAAGTCAATTTCCATGAAATTCTTATATTGAATAAAAGCTTTAATTTTTCCTAAATAATAAACAATTAAATTTTGTCTAAATACAGTTTACATAAGAGAAAGAAATAATGCACTTTCAGTGGATATATATACAACTAGTATTCTAAATGGTCATCTTTTGGGGAGCATATTTTTAGAAGAAAAAAAAGAAAGCAAGAAACTGAGATAATCTCTATTAGGCACGGGAACTTTATAGTCTTTGTACAATCATAGAGACCTTAATGATCCCTTGATACTATTAATCCCTCTTATAATTTTCATAAGCTTGTCAAGTCCTGCACTTTGCCTCTTTTACAGAAGTGACCTTGAACCTGAATGATGCCCAGATTTTTATTTCACAGCAGTAATAAAAAGCGATGTCACAAAGGTACTTAATAAAAATGAATGTGAGATTTTACTAGAGATAGGGGACCTGCCAGATCAAAGCATAGCCATTTATGAATGTTATAAACTCTTGACAAAATGAGTGGTCATGTGATGGCATGTTTATTTCAGGAGTAGGGATGAAAAGATAATTTTTTAATTAAAAATAATAAAAACTTTCTGCCAGCAGGTGGGTAATAGTGGTGGGGGAATCTGGCTAACAGCTGGACATTATTAAATATGTATTAACTTGAGCACCTCATTGGTGATTCTTTAATAAAGTTATCTGGGTTTTTTCCCCTTTTATTGCTAGTCTGGAAGGATCATACATTTACACTCACATGGACAATAAAGATGTACATTTTAAAAACTGTATTTTTTATAATTGTTCTAATTTTTCTCATAAACCTCCCACATTTTATTAGAAATCCATAAACTTACCAATAGGAATAACTTAGTCCATCTCGGTTAAGCTTTCAGTCAATGTAAAGTTCCAGTCCCTAAGCGACTGTTTTCCCCTCCTCTCCTTCTGAAATGCATGTTTGTGAGGGGAAGAGTTCTAGTTCTCATGGCCCTGGGGAAGGTAAGGCTTGTCCATGGCTGATTCTTTGCTCATCTCTGCTATTTGTTCTCACTCTGAATGTCAAAGCTGACTGTAGACTCTTATTTTCTTTCTATTCCTGCTATAATAACAGCAATCTTCTACAAAGCAAATTATGCAACTGAGACAGTATTATTATCCCCATCATATTTGATTATTCTGAGCTTTATGTGATTGTTCCCAAGTAACTTTTTCCCTTTTTTCAAACCATGCTAGATAAATGGCATGATTTTTTGGGCATAATTTTCCTGACATGATTTTTCTTCCTGGTTAGCTCCTTCTTACCTTTCATTTCTAAACTAAAATACCATCTTAGATAAGCTCAATATCGATTTGAAAGAGACCACCTCCAGCCAATTTAATTATCATATGAGTCAGCACAATATTGTTTCAAAAGGGTGAAACTAAAAATGGTTTAAACAAACAAAAAGATGAAAAGATGAAGTTCCTAGCTCACATGGGTAAACTTCGAGAAAGCCAGAGGTCTAATTGACGACTGTCCGCAAAGACTTGAAAATCCTAACAACTCTCTTCATCTCCTGTCTGTCTGTGCTGCTCTCAGTGTTAATTTCATTCCTCTGAAAAGCTTCTCCATGAGGCAGGCAATTACTCCCTTGGTTATCCCCGAAGATGTGGTATACTTAATGAAAAATGGCAGGGAAGCACTTCAATGTGTTCACTTTGGGCCAGTCACCCGCCTTCTGGCAGGTAGGCAGTTTCCAGTGTAGGTCATACCAGATTCATATACTTTGAAAAACTTTTTCACAGAGAAGAACTAGGGGAAGGTGTTGAAATACACATCAGAAAAATTCATATTCCAAAGTAATAGTAATTGTTTCATTGTCAATTCTTTTAATAGAACATATGCATTTTTCCTAGTTTATTACAAAATCTTTGAGTCTTAACAGATTTCTACCTCAGCATAAGTACTCTTCTTAATTTTTTTAGGAAAATGTCCCAAGTTGATGTCTCTCCAAGCTTAAAACAAACATGACTTGGATGTGCTTACTCCTCCCATCTCATCACTTCAACTGTGTGGGTTCTATTCATGTTTCTGAAAACACGCCATCCTCTTTCCTGTCTGAAACCTTTTAACCACACTTTTTCCTCCTCCTGGCATGATTTTTCTTCCTGGTTAGCTCCTTCTTATCCTAGCTTATCATTTCTAAGCTAAAATACTAATTCAAATAAACTCAATATCAACTCGAAAGAGACCATCTCTTGCCACTTAAATCATAATCTTTGTCTGTTGATTTATTCATTATTTGTCTATGTCATTGGACAGTAACACCCACAAATATAAGGACTTGGCCTCTGAGCTACCATTCTGTCTGCAGAGGTTTGCATCAATCGAGTCAGCCAATAGGAAGCTCTAAAAAGCCATTTGTCAATGTATTTAATTAATTATTAAATCTGTTTGACACTTTTATATCTTTAATCAGTTGCAGGCCTTCCTCTTCTTTAGCCCTCAACTTCTTTGACCACCGTGTCAATAATCTTTGGCTTTCTATTGTTAGCCTGGTTCTAACTCCTTTTGTTTTCTTCCCCCTTGGAAAATACTAGTTTTCTGGCAATCCTTATTTTCGTCTCAAACTATGTGCTCTGATAAAATTTTATTCTTGTTTATGGTTTTGACTATTGCTTGTATGCTTTTGATTCACAAATGTCTTTGGCTCTCTTGATCTTCAGAATTATTCTATTATATATGTATTATATCTCTTGACTATTCATAGAAGGAATATAGCATAAACTGACCCTAGTTTCTATCTCATTGAAAGCAATGTCATGAGGCCAGTCACCCAAGACAGAAGCCTTGGAGTTTCATCCAGCAGTCTTACCCCATTCCATCATTTGCTAATTAAGTTTATACTCACATATTTAGTCACCGATACTAAGTTGTATTAATTTTGCCTTCTATATGACCCTAAAACTTATCCTTTCTTTTATAAACAGTTCCCAACTTGTCTCCTTACCCCATAGTATCTATTGTCCAGATGATAAATACTGCATACTGCCACCAAAGTGGATTTTCTCATCATAAACTTGCCTTTGACAGGATTTAAATATATCCATTTAATTTTTTGTTCCATTTGCCTTCAGAATCTTCCTTATTTAAGCTGCATAAAATCAATTAGAAACAAACACAGTTGGTGTTCAATCGAAACCAAATCATTTAATATCTTATATTAAGTTATTATGTAATACATAAAAATACTTATATCTTAAATATTTTAAGTTCTTTTATATCTCTGTGCCATTTACTCATTTTTCACAGTCAGTTGTCTAATCTTAAAATTACCAATCCAGATTTAATTATGGATTCCCTTTCCTGTAACATTTCTGAACTACTGCATCTCATAAATACTTGATTGTGTCTTCTCTTTACTGTTATAACGTTGCATGCTTCTACTATTATGGCATTTATCACACTGTGTCATAATTATTAATCTGAATTCCTTATGTATCCTTTGCACTTGAGATCATCTGGTTAAAATCAGAGCTAACACTTGTTACAATTCCAGGTGACTACTCAAGTTCTTCAATGAAGTGGACTTGTCTGGTTTAAAAGAACAGAGCTCAGTCAAAAAACATTCAGTTAAAAGGAGGCTTAATATTAATGCAACCCAGATATAAACTCAAAAACTCTACTTTTTCAAATTCAGGAAAAGTTACATCAAACTCCTCACTTGTAGGATCTGAAGATGTCTAAACTGTTCCCCCAAAGTTTCCAAGAATTTCTTGGATGGAGAGGTGGGGGAAGGAAACAATAACACTCTCAGGGCTCCAACTGACTCTGATTCCTTTAAGGAAGTTACCATATTAATATGAACCTGAAATCTCACCTCTTTTTCATTGCCTTCCCTCAGACACACACACAAACAAATACATAATCTCTCTCACACACACACAAAAGATAATTAGCTTAATAGATAGTGATGAAGTGCTAGGGGAGAGAGGGGATATTATATTGCACTACAAAACAAATTTACAATTTCTTTTTGAAATTTCTTTTATTGAAAATTTCTTTAAACTGCACCTCCATCGACAATATCTTTCTTGGCTCTTTTAATTTTTCTGCAGTCTTTAACCTTTACCTATTTGTTCCTCTTTGACAACCCTTTTTCATTGGATTTTTCCCTGGAGCTCCAAATTCCTCTTTTTCTATTAACAAGAATTGTGAGTTCAATACAGCCTGTGTTTTTAAACTTTTACCTCCCAAGCCCAGTTTATGGCACTTTGGTATAGCAGCCCAAATGGACTAAGACAAACAGAATGCAGAAACCAAAGCATTTTTTTTTCTTTCTAGTTTTTCAATGGCTTTCGTCTCTGCTTCTCTTTTAAATATGTTTTATTAATCATTTTGCACATGATAAATGACACACACATAATGATCACCCCCAAATGGTGATCTAGAGTCCCAAATACATGGGTTGCGCCCATTCATTTTAAATTTCTAGGAGAGAAAATGAAGTTAACCCATCTTGGTCAAGGGTCCACCCAAAGGGCAATAACCTATATTTGAGATGAATAGGTTCTCTAAACAAAAAGAAAATTACTGACCTCTTTAAAAACTGTCCTTTTTATTCTTGTGCACTTGGCCTCTGACAAATGCTACTTGTTTATCTTTTGTCTAACATTCAGCACAGTCTTGTAGTATTCTAGGGTTTATGTTACTTATTTACTGCACTATTCTTGCACATTTAAATGGTTTTCTGATGATTTAATAAAAAATATTTCTTGAGGAAAATACTGAAAAAGCAATCAAAGATGAAACTGTTAGTTAAACAGGACTAGAGAATGAGAGTACAATAAGGGCAAAGATAGAATATGCCAATAGAAATATACAGAAAATGAGTAACATTCCCATTAGTCGTTCTTTATCTGAAGGATAATGAGAATGAGCATTACGAACATTTCTTTCTATATGTACAACTTAGTCTTAGAAGTAGTATTTAGATACTTCTCCAAAAGTCCTCAAAACATGTCTGTCTCCTAACCTATGTCAAACTTTTAAGAGAATGTTTCATTTATTAGTTTTTCTAAAGCTTTTTAGTAATTTTAGTTTTCCTAGATTTTACAAATTTGATTTAATTTTGAAGCAATCTATTCAATGCAATCAGTATAAATTTGGGAAAATCTGTTTGTAAAGATGGCACACTGAAACACATTTTGTTGCGACTCAAGATATTTCATTTTACAATTTCCTGAAGAACAGTGAATAGAAGAATAACCAGAAGAAACAGTAAGAAGAAATTATTTAAGTATAGATATACATAATTTTTTAATCTTGATTCTCAGTCATTCTTGTTGCCAACCAAAAGTCTAGCCAGATCTTAATAATTTGAATGCATTGGTAAAGAAAAAATTAGACCAACCACACTTGAATGTGAGAAAAGTGATTGGCAGCTTTTAGGGGAACTAAACCTTCACTACAGGAAATGAATGTCATTCCATTTTGATTTTACAAACAAATAGCTTAATTGAAAAGATTCTTAGTGTGTTGGAGAAACTAAGCTCCATTATATATTTCTTATTCCATAGACAATTCCTAAACGAAGACTTGATCATGAAAACTCTAGCTAATAATCCTGAAATTAATCTGCATTCAAAATGTTTACAGGTTTTCAGAAATTGGTTAGAATGTTAATTTTTAAGTGCATGAATATGTGTGTGTGCACACATTTGTTATACATATGACATCATTTTTCTTCAACTAAAAGTAATTTGTATTCTTTACTTATTTTATATATATTATAAATATATTAACATATTACTGATATAAGATATATGTAGGAATGGGTATGTGTTCATAAATATTTGTCTATTCATATATTTTATTTATTTTTCATATATTTATTTTTATTTTACGTTTTATAAATATAAGGTCTTGCTATGTTGGCCAGGCTGATCTTGAACTCCTGGCCTCATGCAATTCTCCTGCCACATCCTCCCAAAGTACTGGCATTACAGGTGTGTGCCACTGCACCTGGCTATTCATGTATTTTACATAACTGTTTTTCTAAATATTTCTAGGTTTTTGGAAACCCTACTCTATTGTTTCTGACAATCTACTCTCAGAAACCTACTCTTAAGTGATGAATATTAAAATGAACAAATATTCTTCCACAGTTTTCTTTTCCAGAACGGCTCCCAGAAATTTCCTAAGGAAATTATTATGCTTTCCATTTAAAACAGTGTGAAAACCAAAGAACCAGTTAATATTTGTTTAATAAACTTTAGTTAAAATTTAAATTTTAAACACATTATTTGACATGACACTAAAACTGTTTATAGATAAGCATTGTTATAGGCAAGTTTGCCAGATGAGTTGCATTTGACTTGTATCGGTTGTAACACTGGCTGTTTGTTCTTCTGTCTCTGTGTGACAATTCCAAATTTCCTAGAGACCACATGGAGGACTTTCTGGAATTGCCCTATACTTGACATCTTATCCCTAACACATCTCCTCATCAAAATGTATCTTACCAATGCTTCCCAGTTTATTAATGCCAAGCTCTTTGCACTCCAAGTTTATTTTCTTATTAAACATTTTGGTTTCACATGTCTAGACAAACAGATTAAAATGACTTACCATAGAGTGGCGTACATTCTAGAATCACTGTTTGGTCAAAAAGAAATACAAAGCATTTCCATTCTTTGTTTAGGGTATTTGAAAGACATGTCAAATACAACATAATTTACAGTCCCCTACTATTATTATATTTTTTTCCTACTGTGTGGGTTGTCTGTTTATTGATTATTTCTTTTGCTGTGCAGAAGCTTTTTAGTTTAATTAGGTCCCATTTATTATTTTTGTTTTTGTTGCATTTGCTTTGGGGGTCTTAGTCATGAATTACTTACCTAAGCCAATATCTAGAAGAGTTTTTCTGATATTATTGTCTAGACATTTTATGATTTCAGGTCTTAGATTTAAGTCTTTGATCTATCTTGCATTGATTTTTGTGTAAGGTGAGAGATGAGCATCCAGTTTCATTCTTCTACATGTGGCTTGTCAGTTTTGCCAGCACCATTTATTGAATAGGGTATCCTTTCCCCAATTTATGTTTTTGTATGTTTTGTTGAAGGTCAGTTGGCTTATTTACTGTTTTATCTGGTATTTAAAAAAGTCTATATGTGTCTTCATGGGTAAGGTGAGTTTCTTGTAGGCAGCGGATAGTTTGATCACGGCTGTATCCATTCTACCCATCTGTATCTTTTAAGTAGAACATTTAATCTGTTTATATTTAAAGTTAATATTGATATGTAAGGTTTTGTTCCTGTCATATTGTTGTTTTCAAGTTTTTAAAATAAATTCATTGTTTTATTCTTTTTGTCTGTCTTTTTGTCTTTGTGATTTCATGAGATTCTGTTGTGTTGTCAATTTGATTCCTTTCTCTTTTGCCTTTGTGTAATTGGTTTAATAAAAGCTGTGAGTTTTATATTACCGTGTGTTTTTACGATGGTGAATGTCTACCTTTAATTTCCATGTTTAAGACCCTTTCCAGAACTTCCTGTAGGACTGGACTTGTGGTGATAGATTCCCTTATTATTAGCTTCTTTAGGAAAAAACTTTTTTTCTCCTTCATTTATTAAGCTTCTTTGGCCGGATATAAAACTTTTGGCTGACAGGTTTTTTGTTTGTTTGCTTGCTTGCTTGCTTGCTTGCTTTCAGCACTTTAAAAATGTCTCTTCTGACCTGTAATGTTTCTGCTGAAAAATCTGTTAGCCTGATGGTGTTTCCTTTGTAGGTATTTAGATGCTTTTCTCTTGCTAATTTTAAAATTATTTCTTTCACTTTGACTTTAGGCATTGTGAACATAATATGCCTTAGTGAAGTTCTTTTTGCAACGTCTTTTCCCAGGGATTTCTGGGCCTCCTGTGTCTGAATGTCTGACTCTTTTGCTAGATGTAGGAAGTTTTCATTGATTATTCCCTTTAACATGTTTTCTAAACCTCTCAATCTCTCTTCCTCCTTGGGAATACCAATAATCATAAGGTCAGTTGCTTTATGTAGTCCGAGACATCTTGAAGGCCTTGTTTATTCTTTTACATTCTTTTTTTTCTTCTTATTTTTGTCTGACTGTATTATTTCAAAATACCTGTTCAAGTTTTACATTTTTTTCTCTTTTTTTTTTTTTTTTTGCGGGGGTAGGGGGAGGGTGTGTGTGTGTGTAAGTGTTTGGTATAGTCAATTATTGAAGCATTTGAATGTGCCTTGTATTTCCTTCAG
This sequence comes from Homo sapiens, assembly GCF_000001405.40. Taxonomy (NCBI): domain Eukaryota; kingdom Metazoa; phylum Chordata; class Mammalia; order Primates; family Hominidae; genus Homo; species Homo sapiens. Next base: position 84,603,729 of record NC_000007.14, on the reverse strand, counting down.
TGAATTTTTTAGCTCCAGAATTTCTGCTTGGTTACGATAGCCTGGTTCCCTGCCACTCCTTGTCCAGGTGGCAGCTACAGCTACATCAGCCTTAACTTGGCCAGGAGGCCGTGGAGTGCAATGCCGCTTTAAATTCTCAAAATGGCCTCAAACCAGAGAGGACAGGGTCACTTCAAGGCAAGTAGCATAGGCAAGAAACTCTGGGGAGTGCACTTCACTCACATCTCAATCTTAATATCAGTCCACAGTAGGGTGGTAGGGACCTTCCTGCAGTGCATGGGAGCACCTGGTTTCCCCCTCTCCCTCCGCAGTACAGTGGCAGCAGCCAATGTTTGTAGATCCCCTGTATCTATACTCTCAAAATGGCAGCCAGCTGAGGCTAAACTAGGCTCAGATGCCTGTAAGATTCTATTTTGGGTGCCTCTTCTGGAGTAAAGTCTCTCTGCAATCTTTAGGCAGCTCTGTATATCAGGCTGAAGTCCTCAGTGGATCAAAATTTTCTCTCATAGCCGTGATTATAAAATCTGAGCCTAGAGGGTTTCTCTCTTACTGTTTTCCCATGTGCAGGAGCCTCTCATGGCAGCCAGGCAACCTGCCTTGGATCCTCTACTTACTCCCTGGTGCTTCCTGTTTCTTCTCTAGTGAATCCAGGCATTTTCTCCTAAACTATCTGAAATGTGAATATATACTTACCATTCTGGTTCCTCTCTGTGGAAGAGGCACATACTAACTGCATCTAGACAAGCATCTTTCATATTTTCAAGTTTATATTATTAAACACAATACTAGCCCACTCTAAGCAGATTTTTAAAAATAGAAGAAGGATGTATTTGTACACAATAATCCAATAAATTTGAATAATACCAGATTCTCTTCAGAATGTCATTCACTATTCCAATGCCAATAACCTCTGTTCTGTCAAACTGGCATACTTATTATGCCAGGACATGCTCACACTCTGAATTTGGCTTTCTTTATAATATTGACATCATCTAGAATACTCTCTCCATCTTTGTCTTCTAAAATCCTATTCATTAGTATAAAACTATCAGAAATAGAACTTACATTATAGAGCTTTTTTTGAACCTTAACCATACAGACATAAGCTTGTTCTTTCTCTTCCTAAATTTCAAAAGCACATTTCCCAAAATCATATTCACGATTTTATTTTTACTTTGTGTAGTGCTTGTTGAACTTTATTTCAGAATTACATGTATACAATCTTGAAAAGAAATAATTCCATTAACAATGTATGTCTCATTTGGCTTACTGTTTTTCCCTTTATTCTCTCTAAACAGATGAATGAAAGAAAGGATGTTTAGAATTAAACTGATGAGAGATAATCAAATAGTAGTTTCTACACCTTTAAAATTCTGTTGTACACAATGTTAACATACTTTAAATAAAAATAATGCCTAAAAACCCTTATTTATTCATTTTCTTATTGTAAAACTAAGTAGTTTCATAACTTTGGACATATTTCCACAGTTCTTATATTGCACATCATATATCTGGTAATATAATAATAAAAGCAATAATAGAATCTAGAAAATATTTTTCCAAGATTGTATTTTAGCTGAAAACATCATTTCTCAGTATTGTGTCTGCAATCTCTAAGAAGCCATAGCTTGTAAAATGAGGAAGAAACAATGTTTATTATATTACTTGGTAGGATCAAAGTATTATACTTTGCATTTACGGAGATTATTTCATTAATTTTGCACAACTTTGGAATGTAGATATCTTCATTTTTGTACTATCTGTGAAAAATAATGAATAACTTATTCAATATAACACAGCCTCTAAGAGCTCTATATGAAATTTGGATACAAGTCTGTGATTTTTACTATATATTTGTCTTATCTAGAGGAACATCCTATTCATTTTGAAGATGAACACAAACACCTAAAAATAGTGATGGATTTGGGTAGCAAAAATATCAGAAAATATTTCCATTTATTTACATGGTTGTTAGCTACTTTGTGAATATTTTCATATCAATGAAATAAATTGTTATTCCTTTCTTGTTTGATTCTATTGTGGTCAGAAAAGAAACTTTGTATGATTTTAGTTCTTTAAATTGTTGAGATTTGTCTTATGTCCCAGGCTATGGTCTATATCATTATATATTCTGTGGATGCATGAAAAGAATGGGTATTCTGATGTTGATGGGTGAATTTCCCATTAAGGTCTATTTGATACTGTCAGATAATGACATTGTTGAATTCTTCTGTATCGTTGTTGATCTTCTTTTTTGTTGTTCTGTCAATTGTTGAGAGGAGGGTATTGACTTCTCCAGCTATCTTTGTGGATTTGTCTGTTTCTCCTCTCATTTCTATCAGTTTTTGCTTCACATAATTTTCAGCTTTGTTATATGTTATGTACACACAGGATTACTATGATTTCTTTATGGATTGTCACTTTTATAATTATGTAATATCTCTCTTAGTCTCTGGTAGAGTTCCTTATCCTTAAATCTATTTCATTTGGTATTAATATAGCCACTTTGATTTTTTAAAATTGTAGAATATAATGGTGTTTAATATAGTTACAGGGATGCATAATCATAACTGTAATCATAATTAATTATCAATAAAATATTACAATCGTATATTATAATATAGTGCTACTAATAATTGTTACATTATGTTTTACTGTTATACATAGTGTATGTTATAATATATTAGAATAATCATAATAATACAATTAATAATTTAAATGGCATCATGATCTTGAGGTCAGTGTTGCTCAAGTGGGGGTAGCTGACTTGCTGGCCTTCTTTGTTGCTTCATACACTGCTGCTGACACCAGAAAACTTCACATTTCCCAAACCCCCAGGGATATTGTAGATTCAACCGTGGAGGCTAGTGTTTAATTCAAAGGGGTAAGGGAATACATACTTTATTCCTGGGGCCTGCAAAACACCAGCCAAAGTGACTCAATTACTAAGTGTCAAACACTCAGCTAGTGTACTTGGGTCTTATTAAATTCTGCTTCATATCAACATGAGAAGGGACTAAATTTGGACCAGGGAGTTACCTGTCCCAAGGATAGGCTGCTAGAGCTCTCTGAAATACAAACCCAGATGGCTCCAAGAGGGACTTACTGAGAAATTTTGAAAAAAGAGATGACCACTGTATTAAGCCATTCTTGCATTGCTATAAAGAAATATCCAACGCTGGATAATTTATTAAGAAAATAGGTTAAATTGGCTAACAGTTCTGCAGGCTGCACAGGAAGCACGGCATCAGTATCTGCTCAGCTACTGCTAAGGCTTCAGGGAGCTTTCACTCATGGTGGAAGGCAAAGCAGGACCAGGAATGTCACATGGCGAGAGCAGGAGCAAGAGAGAGAGTGGGAGGTCCCACACACTTTTAAACAAGTAGTTTTCACATGATCTCGCTGAGTGAGAACTAACTTATCACCAAGAGGATGGTGTTAAACCATTCATGAGGGATGAACCCATGATCCATTCACCTCCCACCAGGTCCCACCTCCAATGCTGGGAATTACATTTCAACATGAGATTTGAAGGGGACAAGTATCCAGGCCATATCAGCCCCCAAAAGGCAAGTCACCAAGACTCCTGTCCTCTTCTGTAAACACCCAAAGGCCCACATTATAAATCACCGAAAGATGACAAAAACAGAATGATAGCTTCACACAGCTAGAAACCCAAAACAAGGGAAATAAGTGGGGAAGGGATTAGGAATAGAGTGGACAGTGTGAAAAGAAAAGCAGAGCCATACGTGATGGTTAATACTGAGCCTCAACTTGATTGAATTGAAGGATGAAAAGTATGGATCCTGGGTGTGTCTGTGAGGGTGTTGCCAAAGGAGATTAACATTTGAGTCAGTGGGCTGGGGAAGGCAGACCCACCTTTAATCTGGTGTGCACAATCTAATCAGCTGGCAGCAAATATAAACAGGCAGAAAAAAGTGAAAAGTTAAGACTGGCCTAGACTACCAGCCTACGTGTTTCTCCTGTGCTAGATGCTTCCTGCCCTCAAACATTAGACTCCAAGTTCTTCACTTTTGAGACTCAGAATGGCTCTCCGTGCTCCTCAAGCTTGAAGACAGCCTACTGTGGGACCTTGTGATCATGTAAGCTAATACTTAATAAACTCCCCTTTGTGTATATGTATCTATCCTTTTAGTTCAGTCCCCCTAGGGAACCCTGACTAATATACCATATCAAAGAGAAAATTCAGAGTACATTACAGGGTGGTTTCAATCCAACCATCTCTGGGCTCTGAGACCTAGTGCTTTTCTGTTATACAACTATCCTACTTATGGCTGTGTTGAAATAGTAGCCTAATTATCAGGGTTGCAAGGGAAAACACTCCTGTACCTTTTGCCACAACAAAAGGATTAGTTCAATCAAAACGTAAGCCAGGCCCAGGGTCTTTAAAACATACAACCCTTACTGTGGAGGAGATTCCTAACCCTGACAATACTAACTGGAAATTCTCTAGAGAAAAAAAAATTATATATATATAATATATACACATATTTTATATATAAATTATATATTATATATAATTTTATATATTTTATATTTATTATATATAAATATATGATAGTATATAATTTTATATATTTTATATTTATATATAATAGTATATAATTTTATATAATATTTATATTTATATATAATAGTATATAACATAATATATGTAATATATAAATTATATATAATTTATATACATGAAATATAATTTATATTATGTATAATATATGTGTTACGACTACTGCAAAGAGATGACATCAAAATATATCCAGTTCAACAAATCAACAACAATAACACCAAAGAAAGAAGGAAACCTAAATACAAGGAGGAAAGGGATATGTGATGTGTGTGTGTATGTGTGTGTGTGTGTGTGTGTGTGTGTGTGTGTGTGTGTGTGTGTGTTAGAGAGACAGAGCGATTTATTATCAAAGTGAAACAAAGTTCTACAATTTGGCCCATTTGGAAATACAAAGTTTAGAAAAAAAATTTATATAAGAAACATATTTAAAAGGGTGCTGATTGGCTTTTATTTTTCTGTAACATCAGTTCTTAATTAACTTTTACTATAATACACCAAATGGCAAAGATTTGTGGACTTAATTCTGGAGCTCAAATTACAGTTATATCTGGGGTCCCACTGAATATAAACATGTTAACTTCTAAAATCTTAGGAAAATAACTAAGTAAATAATGGAGGAAATGTCGGTATACCTCACTTTAATTGTAGCCGTGCCTAAATTTCCCAAGATGATAGTACCCAATGTCCTAAAATATCTCATAGTGGGCATAGAATCACTGATACAATGACTAATAAATTAAAATTGATTTAAATCTTTGGAATTTTTACAAATTGGCATGACAAAATATTACTTACGGATTCCAGTTAAAATAGTTAATATGACCTAATGTAAGTAAAATAGGAATTTAAAGAATCAAAACTTACTATGTAAGTCTTAATTAGCTTTTCCATTTGACAGTTTTGCCTATTGTTTATTCTTTATTCATTTATTTATTTATTTATCAACTTTTATTTTAGATTCACAGGGTACACATGCAGGTTGCTTAAATGGGTATATTGTATGATGCTGAGGTTTGGGGTAGAAAGTATCCTGTCACCCAGGTGCTAAGCATAGTACCCAAACGGTTTTCAAGACTTACCTCCCTCCCTCCCTACCTCAACTCTTTAATAGTCCCTAGTTTCTATTGTTGTTGTCTTTATATCCCTGAGTACCCAGTGTTTACCCCCCGCTTTTAAGAGATAACATGCAGTATTTGGTTTTCTATTCCTGCATTAATTCACTTTGGACAGTGGCCTCCAGCTGCATCCACATTGCTGCAAAGGACATAATTTCATTCTTTATGGCTATATAACACCCCATGGTGTACATGTACCATATTTTCTTTACCCAGTCCACTGGTGATGGGCATCTAAGTTGATTCCATGCTTTTGCTATTGTGAATAGTGCTGCAATGAATATGTGAATGCATACGTCTTTTGGTAGAATGATTTGTTTTCTTTGGGATATAAATCCAATAATGGGATTGCTGGGTAGAATGGTGGTTCTTTTTTAAGTTCTTTGAGAAATCATCAACTGCTTTTCACAATAGCCAAATTAATTTCTATTCCTACAAACAGTGTGGGAATACAATGTTCCCTTTCACCTGTAGCCTCACCACTGTTTGTGTTTTTTGATGCTTTAATAATATCCCTTCTGACTGAGTGAGATGGTATTTCATTGTGAATTTGATTTTCATTTCTCTGATGAATGGTGATGTTGAGCATTTTTTCATGTCTGTTAGTTGCTTACATGTCTTCAGAAGTGTCCGTTCATATCTTTTGCCAACTTTTTAATGTTATTTGATTTTTCCTTATTCAGTTGCTTAAGTTCTTTATAGAGTCTGAATATTAGACCTTTGTCAGATATGTAGTTTGTGAATATTTTCTCCCTATTTGTAGGTTATATGTTTACTCTGTTGATCGTTTCTTTCACCATGCAGAAGCTCTTTAGTTTAATTAGTTTCTACTTGTCACTTTTTCTTTTCATTGCAATTGCTTTTAAAGACTTAATCATAAATTCTTTCTTAGGGCTGATGTCCAGAATGGTGTTTCCTGGGTTTTTGTCTAGGATTCTTATAGTTTGAATTTTTACATTTAACTCTTTAATCCGTCTTGAGTTAATTTTGTATGTAATGGAAAGTTCGGGTCCAGTTTCATTTTTTTAAAATATGGTTAGCCAGCTTTCTCAGTACCATTTATTGAATAGGGAGTTCTTTCTGCATTGCTTATTTTTGTCAAATTTGTCAAAGGTCAGATGGCTTTGGGAATAATGTCTTGTTTTTGGATTCTCTATTCGGTTTCATTGGTCTATGTGTCTGTTTTTGTACCAGTACCATTCTGTTTTGATTGCTGTAGCCTTATAGTACACTTTGAAGTTAGATAACGTGATGCCTCCAGCTTTATTCTTTTTGCTTAGAATTGTTTTGGATATTTAGGCTATGTTTATATTCCATAAAATTTTAGAATAGTTTTTTTTTCTATTTCTGTAAAAAATGACATTTGTAGTTTGCCAGGAATAGCATTGAGTCTGTAGATGCCTCTGGACAATATGGCCATTTTAATGATACTGATTCTTCCAATCCATGAGCATGGAAAGTTTCTTCTATTTATTTGTGTCCTCTATGATATCTTTCAGTAGTGTTTTATAGTTTTCCTTATAAAGATCATTTGCCACCTCAGTTAGATGTATTCTTAGGTATTTACTTTTTGTATGTCTGTTGTAAATGGGATAGCATTCTTGATGTGAGTCTCAGCTTGAACATTATTGGCATATAAAAATGCTACTGATATTTGTACATTGATTTTTGTACCCTGAAACTTTCCCAAAGTGCTTTATCTGTTCCAAGGGCCTTGAAGCAGTCTCTTTAGGGATTTTTAGTTATTGAATTATATCATCAGTGGAGAGAAATAATTTGACTTATTCTTTTTCTATTTGGGTGCCTTTTACTTTTTTCTCTTGCTCTACTTCTCTTGTTAAAACTTTCACTACTATGTTGAACTTTTTCCAGTTCTCAAGGGGAATGCTTGAGATTTTGCCTATTCAGTGTGATGTTAGCTTTGGGATTGTCATAAATGGCTTTTATTATTTTGAGGTGTGTTCCTTTGATGTCTAATTTGTTGAGGGTTTTTATTGTCAAGGTGCATTAGTCTGTTCTCACATAGCTATGAAGAAATATCTGAGACTGAATAATTTATGACAAAGACAAGTTTAATTGGTTCATGGTTTTGCAGGCTGTACAGGAAGCATGGCAGCATCTATTTGGCTTCAATCATGGCAGAAGGTGAAGGGGAAGCTGACACTTCACGTGGCCAAAGCAGGAGGAAGAGAGATAGAGCTGGGAGGTGCCACACACTTTTAAACAGCCAGATCTCATGAGAACTCTATCACAAGACTGCACTAGGGGGATGGTGCTAACCCATTAGAAACCACCCCCACGATCCAATCACCTCTCACCAGACCCCGTTTCCAACAGTGAAGAATACAATTTGACGTGAGCTTTGGGCAGGGACACAAATCCAAACCATATGAAAAGGATGTTGGATTTTACTGAAAGCTTTTTTTGCATCTATTAAGATGATCATATGGCTTTTGTTTTAATTGTTTGTATGGTCAATCACATTTATTGATTTGCATATGTTGAAACAACCTTGCATCCCAGGAATGAAGCATGTTTGATCATGATGATTGAAATTTTTGATGTACTGTTGGATTCAGCTCGCTAGAACTTTGTGGAGGATTTTTGCATTTATGTCCGTCAGGGTTATTGGCCTATAGTTTTCTTTCTTCGTTGTGTCTTTGCCAGGTTTTAGTATCAGGATGATGTTGACTTCACAGAATGAATTAGGAAGGAGTCCCTCCTCCTCGATTTTTTGGAATAGTTTCTGTAGAATTAGTACCATGTCTTCTTTGTATGTCTGGCAGAATTCAGCTGTGAATCCATCTGGCCCAGAACTTTTTTTTAGTTGGCAGGGTGTTTATACTTATTCAATTTTAGAATGTGAAATTGGTCTGTTCAGGGTTTCTATTTTTCCCTGATTTAACCTTGGGAAATTCTATTTCCAGGAATTTATCCATTTTCTCTATATTTTCTAGTTTGTATGGGCAAAGGTGTTCGTAACAGACTTAGAGGACCTTTTGTTTTTTTGTGTGGTCAGTGGTAACGTGCTCTTTGTCATTTCTGATTGTGCTTATTTCAATCTTTTCTCTTTTTCTGTTTGTAAATGAATATAGCAGTATATATCCTTTCAGAGGATATACACTGATATACATGATAAAATATATAAAAGATAAAATATCTTGATATACAAGATAAAAATCTTGTTTATCCTTTCAAAGTACCAACTTTTGGTTTTGTTGATTCTTTGTATGGACTTTTGGGTCTGATTTCATTCAGTTCTGTGTTAATTTCAGTTATTCCTTTTTTTTCTGGTAGCTTTTTTTTTTTTCTTTTCCTCTTTCTTGTTTTTCTAGTTCCTCTGGGAGTGGTGTTAGATTGTTAATCAGAGGTCTTCCTAACTTTTTGGGTAGATATAAAATGCTATAAACTTTTCTCTCAACATTGCTTTTGCTGCAACCCAGATATTTTAGTATCTTGTGTCTCCATTTTCATTTATTTCAAATAACTTTTTGATTTCTGCCTTATTATTCTTGTTTACTCAAAAGTCATTCAAAAGCGAGTTGATCAATGCCATGTAATTCTGTGATTTGGGGAGATCTTCTGGCTATTTCTATATTTGTTCCTCTGTGGCCCAAGGGTGTGGTTGGCATAATTTTATTTTTTTGAATGTATTGAGACTTGTTTTATAGTCAAGGATATGGTTGAATCAATCATGGAGCATGTTCCATTTTCAGAGAAGAAAAATACCTATTATGTCATTGGTCATTGCAGTTTTTGATAGATATCTATTAGGTCTAATTGGTCAAGTGTCGAGTTTAAGTCCAGAATTGCTTTTTCAGTTTTCGGCCTAGATTATCAGTCTAAGGCTGACATTGGAGTTTCAAAGTTCCTCACTATTATTGTTTGTCTGTCAAAGTATTTTCATAGATCTAGCAGTACTTGTTTTCTTTTTTTTTAATAGTTCTTTTTTTTTTATTATACTTTAAGTTCTGGGATACATGTGCAGAACCTGCAGGTTTGTTACATACATATACACGTGCCATGGTGGTTTGGTGTACCCATCAACCCGTCATCTACATTAGGTTTTTCTCCTAATGCTATCCTTCCCCTAGCCCCCCCACCCCCGATACGCCCCAGTATGTGATGTTCCCCTCCCTGTGTCCATGTGTTCTCCTTGTTCAACTCCCACTTATGAGTGAGAACATGTGGTAATTGATTTTCTGTTCCTGTGTTAGTTTCCTGAGAATGATAGTTTCCAGCTTCACCCATGTCCCTGCAAAGGACATGAACTAATTCTTTATTATGGCTGCATGGTATTCTGTGGTGTATATGTGCCATATTTTCTTTATCCAGTCTATCATTGATGGGCATTTGGGTTGGTTCCAAGTCTTTGCTATTGTGAATAGTGCTGCAATAAACATACGTGTGCATGTGTTTTTATCATAGAATGATTTATAATCCTTTGGGTATATACCCAGTAATGGGATTGCTGGGTCAAATGGTATTTCTGATTCTAGATCCTTGAGGAATCACCACACTGTCTTCCATAATGGTTGAATTAATTTACACTCCCACCAACAGTGTAAAAGCATTCTTATTTCTCCACATCCTCTCCAGCATCTGTTGTTTCCTGACTTTTTAATAATAGCTATTCTAACTGGAGTGAGATGGTATTTCATTGTGGTTGTGATATGCATTTATTTTAATGACCAGTGATGATGAGCTTTTTTTTCATATGTTTACTGGCCACATAAATGTCTTCTTTTGAAAAGTGTCTGTTCATATCTTTGCCCACTTTTTGATGGAGTTGTTTGTTTTTCTTTTGTAAATTTGTTTAAGTTTCTTGTAGATTTTGGATATTAGCCCTTTTTCGATGGATAGATTGCAAAAATTGTCTCTCATTTTGTAGGTTGCCTGTTCACTCTGATGATAGTTTCTTTTGCTATGCAGAAACACTTTAGTTTAATTAGATCTATTTTTTAATTTTGGCTCTGCCCCAAATCAACAGGATGTACATTCTTCTCAGCACCACATAGCCACTTATTCTAAACTTGACCACATAATTGGAAGTAAAACACTCCTTAGCAAATGCAAAAGAATGGAAATCATAACAAACAGTCTCTCAGACCACAGTGCAATCAAATTAGAACTCAGGGTTAAGAAACTCACTGAAAACCATACAATTACATGGAAACTGAACAGCCTGCTCCTGAATGACTACTGGGTAAATAACGAAATTCAGGCAGAAATAAATAAGTTCTTTGAAACCAATGAAAACAAAGACACAATGTACCAGAATCACCGGAACACAGCTAAAGCACTGTTTAGAGGGAAATTTATAGCACTAAATGCCCACAGGAGAAAGCGGGAAAAATCTAAAATCGACACCCTAACATCTCAATTAAAAGAACTAGAGAAGCAAGAGCAAACACACCCAAAAGCTGTCACAAGACAAGAAATAACTAAAATCAGAGCAGAACTAAAGGAGATAGAGAAACGAGAAGCCCTTCAAAAAAATCAGTGAACCCAGGAACTGGTTTTTTGAGAAGATTAACAAAATAGATAGTACTTTTTAAAAGAATCTGGGTGCTCCAATTTTGGATGCATATATATTTAGTTGAATTTAACACTTTATCATTATTTAATGCCATTCTTTGTTCTTTTTTACTTTTGATTTAAAGTTTTCTTTTATCTAAGTATAGTCACCCCTACTTTTTGTTTATTTGTTTGTTTCCCATTTTCTTGGTAAAACTTTCTTCAATCCTTTACTTAGTGCCTATGAGTTTCATTATGTGTGAGATGGGTCACTTGAAGACAGCAGATTGATGTGTCTTTTAAAAATTTTTTTTAATTTAACTTGCCACTCTATGCCCTTTAAGTGGGGCATTTAGACCACTTTTATTCAAAGTTAATATTGTTATGAGAGGATTTGATTACGTCATGTAGTTGTTAGCTGTTCACTTTGTAATTTCCATTGTGTGGTTGCTTTATAGGGTCTGTGGGCTATGTGCTTAAGTTTGTTTTTGTGGTAGTGGGTATCATTATTTCATTTGCATGTTTAAAACTTCCTTAAGGATCTTGCATAAGGCTGATCCAATGGTAATACATTATCTTAGTAATTTGGAATTTATTTCTCCTTTGCTTACGAATCTCATTTTTGTTATATGAAATTACTGGTTGCAATTTCTTTGCTTCAAGAATGCTGAAAATAGGCCCATGATCTCTCCTGGCTTGTAATGTTTCTTGTGAGAAGTCTGCTGTTAGCCTGACAGGATTCCCTTTGTATATGATCCTAACTTTTTATCTAGCTGCCTTTAAGATTTTTTCTTTATTGTTGACCTTGGACAGTCTGGTGACTATATGCCTTTGTGATGTTTGTTTGTATAGTATCTTGCAGGTATTCTCTGGATTTATAGTCTCTGGATTTATAGTATCTGGATGTTTACCACCCTAACAAGATAGAGAAATTTTATTAAATTATTCCCTCAAATATTTTTTAATTTTCTTTTTCTTCTTCTCTCTCAAGAATGTCAATAATTTGTAGGTTTGATTGCTCTACATAATCTCATATTTGTTGAAGACTTTGTTCACTTTTTAAAATTATTTGTACTACATTTTTATATGGCTGAGTTAGTTCAAAAATCAGTCTTCAAGGTCTCAAATTATTTCTTCTGCATGGTCCAGTCTATTAACAAAGCTTTCAATTGTATTTTGAAGTTCCTTAAGTAAGCTTGCAATTTTAGAAGTTCTGAATAATTTCTTTTTAAGATGTTTATCTGTTCCTTCATTTAATGGATCGCTTTAGAAGTTTCTTTGTGTTGACCATGAAAAAATGCTTATCATCACTGGCCATCAGAGAAATGCAAATCAAAACCACCATGAGATACCATCTCACACCAGTTAGAATGGCGAGCATTAAAAAGTCAGGAAACAATAGGTGCTGGAAAGGATGTGGAGAAATAGGAACACTATTACACTGTTGGTGGGACTGTAAACGAGTTCAGCCATTGTGGAAGACAGTGTGGCGATTCCTCAGGGATCTAGATCTAGAAATACCATTTGACCCAGCCATCCCATTACTGGGTATATACCCAAAGGAGTATAAATCATGCTGCTATAAAGACACATGCACACGTATGTTTATTGTGGCACTATTCACAATAGCAAAGACTTGGAACCAACCCAAATGTCCATCAATGATAGACTGGATTAAGAAAATGTGGCACATATGCACCGTGGAATACTATGCAGCCATAAAAAATGATGAGTTCATGTCCTTTGTAGGGACATGGATGAAGCTGGAAACCATCATTCTCAGCAAACTACTGCAAGGCCAAAAAACCAAACACTGCATGTTCTCACTCATAGGTGGGAACTGAACAATGAGAACACATGGACAGGGGAAGGGGAACATCACACACCGGGGCCTGTCGTGGGGTAGGGGAAGGGGGAGGGATAGCATTAGGAGATATACCTAATGTAAGTGACGAGTTAATGGGTGCAGGACACCAACATGGCACAGGTATACATATGTAACAAACCTGCACATTGTGCACATGTAACCTAGAACTTAAAGTATAATAATAATAAAAAAAGAAGTTTCTTTGTGTTGACTTTCAACTTTGTTTTGTATCTCCTTGAACTTCCTTGCAAATCATGCTTTGAATTATTTCTCTGTCATTTCTGAATTTCTGTTTTGCTTAGGAACCATTGCTGGAGAGCTACTATGACCCTTTTGTGGTATCACACCATTCAGATTTTTCATGGTGCCAGAAGTTTTGCACTGGTTCCTCGTCAGCTGGAAATGCTGACACACTTCTAATTTATTAAATTGCTTTTTGTGCAGGTAGATTTTTTTTTCCTTTTTCTCCCTTTTCCTGTAATATTTTTTTTTCTTTCCCACTCCCTAGAGGGTGCAACTCTAGAGAATGCTAAGTAGGGTCTTTTGGTTTTGCTTCTATAGCACTATGCAATTCTTTTAGCAGATATTATATTGGGCTGGGAAGTTCAATGCATGAGCCAATAAAAAGCATGTACAGGTAATAGCTGGCTGCAGCTTATATGGTTGAGTGTACACTTGATCCCTGCTTACTGGAATAAGCTCTCTGTTGTCTCAGAGAATGGGCTTAATCATATAATGCACAGTGGTCTGAGCCGTCTGCTCAGCTCTGAGGGTGTGGGGGGCCATGATGGGTAGAGCCAGATCTGGCAGGTCCTCCTAAAGGTCTCCCATGGCAGGCACAAATACCTGTACAGAAGGAAAAGCCAGTGGGTGGCCACCAAGCACCCGGAAGTATGTCTATGCATGGAGCTGGGAAACCTCCTTGGGCTCAAGTTCTCTGCAAGAGGATGAGGATATATTAAATTTCTAATCCTGGAGAGTGGGCATTCCAGATGCCTGGAGATCTCCCTGGGCGTGGAGCAGAGAGGGACCTACTGCACCAAGATGTCTACACAGGACTGGTGGGGCAACTCAGGCTGTTGAACCAGGCCAGGAGGTTTTCTGAATGCCTGGAGATCTGCCTGGGTGTGGAGCAGATAGGGCCTTGCTGTACCACAATCAATGTTCAGGAGGAGTGGAGTGGCTTAGACTGCTGAACCAGATGAGTGGGTGCTCTGAATGTCTGGAAATCTGCCGGGGTATTAAGTAGAGAATGCCTTTCTGCATCAGGATTTCTGCATGAGAAAGTTGGGACAGGTCAGCTTGCTGAACCAGGTGAGTGGGTACTCTAAATGCTTGAAGACCTGCCTGGGTGTGGAGTGAAGAGGGTTCCCCTGCAGCAAGATCTCTGCACAGGAGTGGAGGTGACTTAGGTTGGTGAACCAGGCAGACAGGTGTTCTGAATGCATGGAGATCTGCCTGGGCATGTAGCAGAGAGCCCGCTCCCCCACCATGCCACACCACGCCCTGCACCAGGATCTCTTCACAGGAAGGGTAGGACAGCTTAGGCTGCTGATCCAGGTGAGCTTATGCTCTGAATACCTGGAGATCTGCCTGGGTGTGGAGTGTAGAGGGTCTCACTGCATCACGATTTATGTCCAGGAAGCGTGGGGTTCAGTTTTGCCTATTCTTAAACCTAGAAAAAATGAATAGTACATTGCAATGTCTTACTGCAATCTTAATGCTCAGGTCCCATCCATTAAGGCCCCCCTAGCCAAAATTCAGTATTACTGAAATTAATAACTTTGTCAAATTAGCAGCTGGTAAATATTTTTCTATTGTACATTTGATGAATATGTTCTGTTTGGTCCTTATTTCAACAGTCTCTCAGCTGTAGTCTGCCTTCACCTTTGAAGGTATTACAATATCCCCTAGCCTATGCATGGGATATCTCAACAGATTTGTCTTTGCATGCCATCTTTGCAAGTAAGATCTTAGTTGCATCCAACTTTCTCCAGGAACACAGGTATGACACTTTCTCTTGAGTAGATTTGTTTGACACACACTTATTGGAAATATGAGTACATCTTTTTGTCTAAATTAAAATCAACAGACATTCCTGTTAGTATCCTCAAAGGCTTCCTCACTGTGGAAGCTTTAATAGTGTTCTCTCATGCCTCATGGTGTCTCTGAACCAGCTATGATGGACATAAATTGCCCATGGGCTTCCAATGCAAGAAACTTTTCTTCTCAGACATCCACCATTAGAGTGGCAATTTCTGGCCACATACTGGAATCTGTTGGAAATTGAAGCTCTTGAAGGCCCTAAGCCTTTAGCCCTGCATACCATCCTGCCCATTATGACCTGGATCATGGAAGTAACATCCCACAAGTTCAGCATGGCTAGTGAGTAGTCCTTGGTACAGGATGTACCTGAACCTGAGCCCTCTAGCATATTCCTCTTGCAGGAGAGAATGGCCTTGTCTGTCTTCAGTTCCTTGCAAGATGTCATGTTGCTGGATGCCTAGCTCCTTGGCTACCTATAAATTAAGTGAGATTAACTGAGTGAATAGCTGTGGGATTGCATAGACTGAACATATGGCATTACAACAATTGTAAGTGGTGAAGCTCAGTAGAATGTTGCTGCTTTCCATAGTTAACCAAGAATTCCTTAATAATGGGCAGGACAATTGGCCAAACTTTAGAAAGTCATTTTAGCACTGAATGCCCTAGCCAACAAATGACCGCATCTGCACATTTTTACAAATTATTGGGCCATTTCCTGAGCTGTTCTCTTCAGGATAAAGAGTTCTGAGATATTTCGCCTCACAGAAATCCAAACTATAAATCAAGTCCTCGTGTATCTTCACATATACTAAGACAACAACATAAAGCCTCACCAGGACGTTTTTTATTCCCTTCAAAGTTCCAGACATTACTAATGCATACATCTCACATCTCAGAATACCCAATAATGGCTCTTAGAAAAGGCATTCAATGGAACTTTCATCTTCACTATAGGCCTCAGACCGAGGGTTTAATTGAGAGGCCTAATGGGCTCCTCAGAGAACTTATATTTAAGTTGTGAAATGACAAATAGACTTATAAATGGGTCCATATCATGCCCCAGACTTTCATCTATCTTAATTGAAGGCCCATTGGCCTACTTTACACCTTATACAACTTTTAAAATCCTACCTTTTGCCCATTCCTATATATAATGAGTGATATGTTTCACCTCCATATATATGAAGACTCTTTATGAGTTCCCTCAATAATGTCTGCTCTTTCGTTTATAAATTTTCAGTTGTAACTCTGGCTCATAAGGCCTGGAAGCCATATGGACAACACATACTCTCCTGAGACCCATTAACTATAGATTGTCTCACAGACCAGACACCTGCCTATGTAGTATAGGACCCAATTGAACTTGAATTGCCACCACACTAAATACTTTCCTCAATATTTGGGTTATAAGGGGTGGATAATTAATCTGGGTTCTCCTTCTCATCCCTCCATAAAATTAAAATTAGTGCTCCAGGGCCAATCCTACAGACAGTGTAGACTACACAGAAGGAAAACAAAAAACTCAACTTAGTAAATTAAAATTATCTTCAGACATAATAATGGAATTAACACCATATTTCATAATGAGAAAACCAGACCAACCCTCCTCGCTAATAACATACGACAGAGGAAAAGCGACATCAAGCAGCAAAACTCTGTCAAATCTAACTGCACACCATTCCGTAGGCTATTAGTCTGGTCACTCTCAGTTTGGGTACTTTCATTGACTTGTGATACACAGACTTAAACTTTCCAGGTCATTGTTTTAACCAAATATGGCAAATATTGAATTTGGCTAATGAAGCCCAAAGGCCTCACCAGCTTGTCCTTCACCAAACAAACCAACAACTGATGCGGAAGGAAGAAAAAGTGATTTAAAAAAAAAAAAAACTAACAAGAAAAAAGCATAAACATTTTTATTTAATATGCTTTATGTTACATGAAAGTGTTCAGAAAATAAAGGCTCAGAAAAATGAGGTAAACTCTGTACATATTATGATAAGTCTGAAGAAGAAGTAGATAGTTGTGGATGAAGTAGATAATTGGATGAAAAGGGGTATGAAGTAATGGTAATAAATTGGGGAGGAAATTCATCAAGGCCTGGTGTTCAGATTCTTCTCTGTGTCTTTGTGTCTTCAGGGTTAAGGACGTTTTTCCCCTCTCTGGGTAGAAGGAAGACCCCTCTGGAATGAGAGTATTATAATCTATTTTAAGGGAAAGACAAGCTGGGTTTTATGGCCTGCTTCAGGATAGCTAGGGGGATTCTTTCTAGTTTCTAGGGCCTGCTTCTGCTCTTTTGTCAAATGCCAAGGTGCCATATTTTACAATAACATTTTCCAAACCCTGTCTGATGCAAAGGATCCATAGTAATTGGTGAAATTGGAGGGCCTGCCTACAGGCTAATGTTGCAGCTCTACTCATAGCCACAGGTATTTTAATTGGCAAGCAACTTCACACCATATTAACCACATGAACCAAAATCAGGCCATATGATTTAAAACATATTTGTATCAAAACCCCCTCCTCATCTATCTGGGAAAAACATGGAGCGTTAGGGGCCTTTAGATTCAGTTACCAATAATTGGCACTTTAATTATGCCAGACAGGTTTGGCACTGTGCTCCAATTACTACCGTATCTGAGATGCCGGCACCATCTGTACCCAAAGGCCCCTTGACTTAAAAGATAATTTCAAGTCAAGCTCCCAGGTCAAAAATTTCCTTCAAGTTTCATAGGTAGTTCAGACTCGTTATACTATAGAACCACAAAAATGTGATCCACAAGGACTGAATGGTTATCAGTTTGAGAAAGATACCCCAGTTCCACAGCCTAGATAACATCTTCTCGGCCCAGGAGCTTGCTGCCAGAGAAGACTGCATCCTGTACACTGAGAACACTGCCTCAGCAATTCCCATGGACTGCCCCTCCTAAGATGCAGACAAATTAGAGACGGGGCATTTATTGCTTTTCTTCCTCTGCTATTTCAGATTCTATTGTATTCTCTGAGCTCACTGTTTCCTTAGCCCTTAATCCCTGCACTCTTCCAAAATATGCATTCCTACACTCTCAAGCCTAAAGGGAAATCTTGTAGCCATTACTACTATCTGTGCCATTCTAAAAGTTGATCAAGATTACTGCTTTCTCCAGGAACTAACTGCCTCATATCAGTCCACTCCTCGGCCCCATGAAGAGAGAATTTCCCACTCCACAGCTCCTTCTCTTAAACCCCACTCCAGCTTTCCACCATAACCCCCCATAGAACATCTCAGACCATGAGCACCACAACTGTCCCTTTCACCTTGATTACTCCTAACTTTGCAGATACCTTACTGAATATTAGTCCATGCCCTTTACACCATAACTACTGGACTTGTCGCCCTTAACTCAGGAATACACCAAGATATTATTGGCATACAAATTAATTCATACTTTTAACATACTTTATAACACCACAAAGATACTCTTAGACACCCCAGATATTTCAGGTTTGTTTTCCTAGGTAATACTCTATACATGAGAAACTTCCTTCAAGGGAAACCTATAAAGATTCCTTGTACTTCTATTTGTTTTCTTCCTTTTTACTGTCATAATAAAATATTTTCTACACAGAGTTTGGAGAAATGTATGGAGTACCTACTGGGAGATTCTGCTATTTAGACCATTCAGATACCCCAAATAATTTATGTCAAAACTGATGTCAAGACACAAAGAGGTCAACTGTAACATAGCCTGGTTTTTGTTTTAAATGCTGTCTTTACCCAGTTTTGAGGCCTTAAGTAGAAGCTGACAGTTTCTTTTCTTGAGCAGCTAAGTCCACACCTCCAACACTTCTTTTTTAAGAATTCTCAGACTCCATGACCATATAAACCTACCTTAATTTCCTAGGGCACAGGCACCAGCTAGCTGGGACAACACCTGTGCTCAGAGCCCATGAAGTTAGTCAAATTAATCAGTCCACAGAGAGATCCTGACATCTAGCTAGTGTCACCCCACTTGCCCCACATAAATTATCCTCTAAACTTCAGCTTGCTGCTACCCTGGCCCTAGGTACAACTCCTTGTCTGGCCTTGAGTGTCAGCCTTCTCTTGTTTGGAGCTATAAATAACAAGGAACTCTGCCTTTAATCTACCTGAATGCAATTGTGTTCTGTTCTGCCATCAAAAGAATCAAATCTTATAAAACAACTGTATACACCTCAAGTCTCCTAATATCTTAATACTATGCTATCCCATTAGGCCTTCTTTGTTTAAAGAGTGAAAATGAATTAATAAATGCTGAATTGGAAACACTGAAAAATTAATGCTTTTATTTCTCACACAGTTATTATTCTTGTCACAAAAATTATGCTTTCAGATTGCTTTGGTAAGAGCAGTTTACATATTTTTGCATGCTTACTGCAAAGATTATCAATGGTATCTGGATTTTCATAAGAATTAGGATGTGGTACCTGAAAAAGAAAATTATATTTCAGAAATCTTTCTCTAATAACCATTTATAGATTATACATTTTTCTATACTCTTTCTACTCTATCCACTATAGATTTAGCCTAGAAAAAAATTATTTAACTGAAATTACCACCCAATTAACAATATAACAAATTACAAAAGATTATAGGAGTCCATATATCAGAATTTAACTTACAGACATTAGTAAAGTACATAAAATTAGTATTGATTTTATTTCTAATTATTTGTTTGAAAATTACACAGCATAATGAACAAAATTACTATATCTCTATATGTAGTATATATGTATGTGAAATAGAATGAAATAGAATAAGCAAGAGAGAAAATATATAAGATGAAAAATACAAAGCTACAGAATTATGTCATCATTCATTTCGAATCTTAAACATTCTGGTAAATTAAACTTTTAAAAATGTTAAATTCAGCATTTAAAATGGGGTTTGCATCTATTTTTAGAGAGATGAGATAAAACAGTTCAAACTCAGGAAAAAAAAATCTGAGTTTATAGAGATACATCATTAAAACACTGCGAAGCCCTGAAAATTTTAGAGCTTTGGAGGGGCTCAATGTTCCGTGTAGTGGAGTTTTAATAGATACCCGTGAGGCATTCTGGCAGAGTGACAGTTCCATTGGAGTAGTGGGTAAATAGCTCTCCACTTGCAGTAACGTTAGTATTTGTAAACTCCTGTCTTTAAGAGTTAGACAGATGACTCTTTGTTTAAATTTGACAATAATAAACCAAAATTGAAATACAAAGATGTGGATTTTAACATGTACTCTGTTACTTACTGGAAACTTTAAAAAAATGTATTTGACCAATACAGAATGTGTTTAAAAGCAACATTGGAGAGTTTAGAGGGAAAGTTTAGTAGAAGAAAACAGAAAGAAAGCATCAACTATTGTGTTTATATCTTATCTTAAAGTTACATACAAAAACGATTTTTCTTATGTCAATACAATTTATCTTATTACGTCAGTATTTTATTAATCTTTTTCTTGGAAAATCTCTTCTACTTCATTAGTGGCATATGCCAGATATTTGCTAATAATACATAACTTTGAGTAAATGGATTTTATTTATATAGAAGTGATCCAATCCAGGAGTAAGCAAACTACGGCCAGGTACCGTATCTGGCTGGCACTTTGTTCTTGTAAATAAAGTTTTATTGAAGCACAGTCACAGCTATTCATTTACAAATTATCTATGGCTGCCTTCACACTACAACGACAGAGCTGAATACTTGAGTACTTGATGCAGAGATCATTTGATCTGTAAATCCTGAAATGTTTGCTCCCCAGTCCTTCTTCTTCAAGGTAAGTTGTTCATAAAGAGGGTAGTTCTTTGTAAATGATCAAATTAGTCTAAAAGTTATCTGTGCCATTGATGCATATTAACTTGCCTGAAAGATACTATTAAATAAGATTATAATGGCTGAATGCTTTCAATTAATATTATATATATATATATATATTTGGTTTTTTTTATATATATACTTTAAGTTTTAGGGTACATGTACACAACATACAGGTTTGTTACATTTGTATACATGTGCCTTGTTGGAGTGCTGCACCCATTAACTTGTCATTTACATTAGGTATATCTCCTAATGCTATCCCTCTCCCCTCCCCCCATCTCATGGCAGGCCCCAGTGTGTGATGTTCCCCTTCCTGTGTCCAAGTGTTCTCAATGTTCAATTCCCACCTATGAGTGAGAACATGTGGTGTTTGGTTTTTTGTCCTTGCAATAGTTTGCTGAGAATGATGGTTTCCAGCTTCATCCATGTCCCTACAAAGGACATGAACTCATCCTTTTTTATGGCTGCATAGTATTCCATGGTGTATATGTGCCACATTTTCTTAATCCAGTCTATCATTGATGGACATTTTGTGTTGGTTCCAAGTCTTTGCTATTGTGAATAGTGCCGCAGTAACCATACGTGTGCATGTGTCTTTATAGCAGCATGATTTATACTCCTTTGGATATATACCCAGTAATGGGATGGCTGGGTCAAATGGTATTTCTAGTTCTAGAACCTTGAGGAAATGGCACACTGTCTTCCACAATGGTTGAACTCGTTTACAGTCCCACCAACAGTGTAAAAGTGTTCCTATTTCTCCACATCCTTTCCAGCACCTGTTGTTTCCTGACTTTTTAATGATCGCCATTCTAACTGGTGTGAGATGGTATCTCACTGTGGTTTTGATTTGCATTTCTCTGATGGCCAGTGATGATGAGCATTTTTTCATGTGTCTGTTGGCTGCATAAATATCTTCTTTTGAGAAGTGTCTGTTCATATCTTTCACCCACTTTTTGATGGGGTTGTTTGTTTTTTCTTGTAAATTTGTTTGAGTTCTTTGCAGATTCTGGATATTAGCCCTTTGTCAGATGAGTAGATTGCAAAAATTTTCTCCCATTCTGTAGGTTGTCTGTTCACTCTGATGGTAGTTTCTTTCGCTGTGCAGAAGCTCTTTAGTTTAATTAGATCCCATTTGTCTTTCACTTGACAATTTTATCCCCCAAATTATCATTCCAACAAGCATTGAAAAATAAATTTATATATTTCTAGTTCACTTGAATTGCTTAAACTAAATAATCTGGAGATGAGTGTTTGAAGCACTCTGTATTAATAGCTTAATAATAAAATTGATGCCAAATATGGAATAGTCAGAACAGAGTTTCCATTTCAGGAATTTCTTTAAGATTATATCTGAGACTAGGAATTCAAATCACTCCTGGAAACTGAAGAAAGATACTAATATTCAGCTGGATCCAATCCTTTCTTGTTAATACAATGCAAAATAATCCCTTCTATAAATAACGACACCTTGAATACTTTTTCCATATAGATAAGTATTAGGAAATAATGAAGACTAAAACCTTAACCAATTATACTTTAAAAATTACTCCCAGGAAATAAAATAAAAGGAAATAACTAAATTTAAGAGCACATACTTGGAAAAACTACTGTGTGATATACTGTTATTTATATCTCTCTGAAATTTAAAGTTGCTTTAGAAAATATATTCCATCTTATTCCAGAGATTTTATATTGAAGTACCTCTCACAATTGCAAGAACTGTACAACAACTTGTATTTGCAAGAAACATGTTCAATAGTATTTCAAACCTCTTTGATTCAATGGCTGAACGCTGTTAAGTATATTACTAGATCCTTGTACTTATAATGGTTATTTTTAACATGACTGAATTTTGCTAAATCGACTTCTTTTTAAATGAATATTAATTATGATAAACAATTATTTTACTAAGTTTATGAGCCTATATATAAAATGGTCTCGTGAGCCAAGTCCAATTAGGTGCTCCCTGGTAAAATGCTTCTGTAAGATTCTGTATCATCCTTTAAGAAATCTGCAATTGCACAAGCATCTTCAAGGCTCAGGTAAATTTAGCCTCCTCACGTCCACCCTTTTTAAAAATGTTCAGCTAATTGCCCCTGGAAACTTTAGATCATTCTGGTCTCCCAGCATAACCTTGTAGATACAAATAAATTTCAGCTATATTGCTGAAATGATTATTGCTATTGAAATGATGAAAGCTGTAGTAATTGTAACTCTGCTTATGATTGCTAGATTTCCGTATTGAATTTTCTTCATTTCTTTTTCTGAAGACTACTGTACAGTTTTCCTTTTTCTTAAGTCTCCAAATTTCTCTTCTTTCCTCCATCGTATTTAAGCTTCTATTCTCGTCTTTCAATTCATTAAGACAACAAAAGGATGGATATATCATTATCTTCCCACCAACAATTCTATAAGCCAACTTTCTCCAGCACTGAAATATTTATCTTCCTTCTTGTTTCACTTTATATTGTTCCATATAGCTCATTCATTCATTTTTATTTCTCCAGAACACTCTAACTTATAACAGTAACACAATGTACTGTCCCATTTTCCTACCAATATACATTTATTTTTATTGTAATTACCTGTGTATGTTAATGAAGCTGACAAGAGTCTCTCTAAGATATATTCCCACATAAATTTGGGCACCTTCAACTTTACTTGATATTGACAAAGTGATCTGAAAGTGATTGGGTATAACTATGTTTCTACCAGCAGGGAATGTAATCCTTGTGAGACTTTATATTATGGTATTTTAATTTTTAACAAATTTCAAAATATAAAATGGTATTTTATGATTTTTGTAATTTGCATTTCCTTATTTACCAGTGGAGATTAAATGGTTTTATATCTATTTGTCTATAGCTCTTTTTTTCAGCATATTACAAATTGCAAAACTTTCTACCAACAAACTCCTATCAAGTCAAAAACATATTCCCTAACCTACGACGTAGACTATGCCCTGCAGCCCAGTATCAGTTGTTTACTTGATAGGATCAGGATCATGCCCTATGGTTGCTGTCTAAACCTATCATGTACCATCACACTGATTCTCCCAGCATGTTCTCTGATAGTGTAACCCTTCATGGGCTCCAGCATTGCTCTTCCAGTCTCCTGGACTACTTTGCACCTTTTTCTCTCTCTTCATATTGTCAACAACTTTCTCCAACCCTGGGTCTCGCTAATGCTCTTGCTTATTGTATCCCTGATGGGAAGGAAGAAAATCTACAAAACCACTTGTGTCTATATTTGTACATAAGATCTTCCTTCCTGAACTTATGGATGAAATGTCACTTCTTGTATTGAAGACTAATTCCTCCACAGCTTTGCTAGATACAATTCATTAAACTTCTCAGGGCTTTGTTCCCTAAAATATCCATCTTATTTCCCTATATAATCAGTTTTTCACTCTCTGCTGTATAATTCCCATCATAATACAATCCATGTTTTAAAAGCTTTGTCTCATTCTCTAGTTGCCACCCTATTATTCTACTTCTCTTTATAGCAACAGTCTTTGAAGCAATTATTACTTCTCCCTTTATATATTTCCTCAACTTAATTTTTTCTTTATTTCAACAACCACATTGAAACTTGTCCTATTGAAGTTACTAATAATCACCATCTTGCCAAGTTCTCAGTCCTTACCTTTTTGATTTCTTAGCAACTGTTAACTCAATTGCGTCTATCTTGAAATCCTTTCTTTATTTGGCCCTGTATTCCTACATCACTTTCTTTATCTTTGTAGCTGACTCATGCATTTTTCAACAGCTCTAAATTATCAAGCACCTCAAGGATATCATTGGCCCTTTCTTCTCTAATTTTTTCTCTCCCTACAGAATCTCATTTTGTCTGATGGCCTTGGTTAACATCTCTCCATTTTTTACTTCCAAATGTTTGTCTCCAGGCCGAACTTCTTTCTCGAACAGAAACCTCTGTATCCAATTGTCTAATTCATGCTTTCATTTGGCGCTATAATAGGCATGTTAAACTATGTCCAAAACATAACCGCCCTCCCCCAACATATCATCCCAATCTTCTTTTCCTCCCCATCTCACTGAATAGAATCACTATTCACACAACGTGTTAGGGCCAAAGGCCTGGAAGTCATTCTCAATTGTTTTTTCTCCTTATATCTTATACCCAAATCATAATTGTTTAAACTCTTAATTTTGCAAAGTCTAAAGGTAGGTACTTTTCTCTATCTTCAAAATCGAGAACAGTGATTGGCATGCCACAGGTGCTATCAAATAGCTGTTGAATGATTAATGAATGCAGCAGCAAAATTTATTTTTGTGTAAAATATGTAAATCTTTTCTTAAACCGTAGATGAGAAGCTTTCAGAAAAAAATGCAATTTAGCATTGCTTTCATATGCGTATGTAAAAATGCTTTAGAAATAGTCAATCAAGATTATAATTATTTATGTTTTAAATTGATATTCCATTGGCATTACTGTTATACTCTTTACTTTTGCAGGTGTGTTATTTTTGGCTTTCCTTCCTGGGTGGATTTCCTGATATTTTATGCTATTTCCACATCTTTCAATCTAAATGTATAATTTTTTAAAATTAATCATTCATGGAGAAAAGATAGTCTCTAGTGACATTTAAGGGTATCAAGCAAAAGAAAAAGACACATACAATTATCCAAGATAGATTTATAGTGCTTCTGACAGCACAAGTTAAACAAATAGTTAACAAATCCAAAACAGAGCAATTCAAATCCTTCATTAGAAGTATTCATTTCTATGTATGTCTGCTGAAGAAACATTATAATAATAGTTAATTATTTTGATTTGGACTATGAACTATTCTCAGTCATAGTAAGGAGTGAAAGAACACTATGTTTCCTTATATGGAAAAAAATACATACTTTGATAGATCACAATATCTTTCAAATACTGACTCTTGATCCTTTTACCTATAACATGCCTAGGTAGTGCAGTTGATATTTGTTGTTTTTATCTTCCTGGCGTCCTTTTCTTTGCATCTTTTTCCTTAAGGAGGACAGCTCTTTCTTTCACTTGGTAGAGTCTATAATCACCTGGCTTCACTTCCTGAATTTTATGGTGCATATGAAAGAAAAAGCTTCAGTGACTTTATCTTCCGAAGATTGATATAAATCTTGGGAAGGGGATGCTACGCACTTTTCTCTGGCATTGCTAGTTGTTAAGCACAATCCAAACTATATCTGCTGATGGCCAGGAGACAAACCTCTTGAGCATTGAAACCATTAGATAGTAAAATTGAGCAGAGACAGAGCATAAAAAGAGACAGGTTATCTGATATTTGATTATTTTATTGAGTTCCTGGATCCAGCTACACCTAAATGACCCTGAATTTTTATGTTTCTGAGCCAACATATTCTACTATTTATTGAGTTTTTGTGACTTGTAACCAAAAGGTGTTCTTGTAAATACAACCAATGATAGAGCTTTTAAGTAAATATTTACATAATTGTTTTTACTAATTTATAATTAAAATTTGTCAATATGCTTTTCAGAGTACTCAAGTACTACTATAAGGAAAATATTAGCAGTTACAGCATTTGAATTTTACTTGGAATGACCAAATAACAATTCGTGTCAAAGCATTAACTAAAAGTGCCTGACTTAAATAGAATCTGACATTGTTGATTTATTGTCTAGGAACTGCAGGATTATATAATTGATTGAATTATTGAATACATGTGATTTGCCTTATCCTTCTATTTTATTTGTGAGTCCCTTTCCCCAAGTTAAATTTCTTTTTTGCTCTTTATATTCTCTCTATTATTTCATCTACTTTTATGATTTCACCCCAACTCGTATGCTGATGATTTCTAAAATTTACCTTGATTTTCAGATTTCTGTATTCAACTGCCACTGGATATCTTTTATTAGAATAAAAGCATAATATTATCCCATTATTTCTTAGTCTCATGTGAAATCATAATTATCATCATTGAGTAAATACCAAGAGAGAGGAAATACAAGGAAGTAATAGCTTCAAATCCTATTAGTATATAAAATGATGTACACTAGGGGTTAGGAACCCCTACTATGTGCTTTTCTAATAACCTAAATAGCCACTCAGAGGAGATGGGGCGTATAAATTAACTCTTCTCCCCTTGGTCCCTTATTGATCTAGTTATGCCAGGTAATTAAATTCAGCATTAATAGAATAGGCCTTGGGTGGTATGCTTAACTGATTTCCCATCTCCTCCTCTCTATGTTGTCCTAGTCGTGTAGGGCCCATCTAAATTAGTAGCTCTACATTCAAATTTTGGGAGTCATGATTGATTTGTCCAGTTCCTTAAGTCTTGCTAGCTAATCAAAAAATTTCCCACCTGGATATTTCTCCACTCGTTTCTTTTGTTCATTCCTAATTCTGTTATGCTACTTATATTTTGCCTGAAAACTGCAGCAACACACCATTGATCAAATAACACTTAATCACTGATGGCTTCACTGAACGTTCTCTGGGGTGAATTAGAAACCCCTGTTCTGTGGTTTTCTAGTAACATGTAATAATTGGTATCATTCCATCAAGTACATATTAATGTCATTTTATTTTAGTTGTATGTCTATTTTTCTAGGACAGGAGCAATTTGGTTTATTATTATTTTTCAACATGGAAGAGGTGGAGGGATATTGAGTCCCTTCAAAATATGACAAAGAACATTAATCCTGTTTCATTTCTTTTTTTTATTTAAATGTACCATTGCTAATTACCTAAAAAAGGAAAATCTAGGAAACTAAGTTATCAGTTGATTTTTTGTGCATTTCAGCATTGTTTCTAGGGTTAATAATTTGCTTCACAATCTTCAGCCTTTTATAAATGATAGCAACATCATATTATTCCTCTCATTCTGTGCCTTTGTAACATGTTCAAAGTAATGTTTACTCCTGGATGATGAGATCTGTAATAAACCTAAGCGCAATTCTTTTAGAGCCTTATCTGTCTTCAAATTTCAGAACCTGGGTGCAAGTTGAGACATTTCCTTTGGAACATTTTTCTCCAAGAATCTTGTTGTCACAATTTTGCTCTGCTCCAATATAACATCTCCAGAAAGGCATTCTCAGACTGTAACTGCAAAATAGTTGCCACTTTCTGTAAACCACTCTGTGCCCTGCCCTTCCACCTTCTGTAATTGCCTGCCATTTTACCTTCTGTAAATCATTCTGTGTCTCCTTATGTTATTTTATTTTCCTCACCATACTAATAATTAACGGACAGCACTTAATTTTATATTTGTTTATTTTTTATTGCTTTTATCACTCCTAAAATATAAACTCTTGAAGTCACAGACTTTGTCTTATACACTCCTTTATTTCCAGAGTCTAGAATACAACTTGGAATATAGTAGGCCTACCATATCTATTTTTAAAATAAAGAACTGGTGCATAAAATTACATTACTTTCCTGTCCCCTTCTATGTTGTTCATGAATATGTATTGTTTAGCCATTAAAGTTATTCACCTCCTCCCCCTTTTTAACTATATTATTGGCTTCATTCTTTTCCCATTTAGTAAAAATATAATATGAATATAATCATTTCGCCTTTTCCCCTTCCATTTTGCTTTCCTTGCTATTATCTGAAACTTCAAGCACCTTTGGTGGTTTACTTCTTCCCTAGTTCATTAACTAAGTATTCTTCCTTTACTTACTTATCTTATTTTTGATATATCTAATTTTCAGATGTTCTATTACATTATTTATTTTCTTATTTTATTTCTTAGGATTTCAGATGATGTGAAATAATATTTCTTTTTAGTTATAAGAATATTATGATACATAATATTCCAATACAATATTACATTTGCATTAAGAGAACTGTGCACTCTTAGGCTCATCTCCTAAGATTAGCCTTAAGGGAAAAAAGTTAAAAAGAACTACAAACTTCCTATCTTAAATTATACTCTCTAAGAATGACAACTAAAAATAGTGGCTGTGAATGACACCAATAATTTATTCATTTCTATACAAATGGAAACTGTGCAGTAACAAGAATTGAGCATGGTACTTTCAAATTATTAGATAGCCACAATAAAGATAATGAACTGGAAAACGGTAGTTACAAACATAACGTAGTTTATACGGCATGGACATCTTATATAACCGCTGGAGGTTAGCTATGCCCTGGGACACTCAGGATAAATAATTCATTTTCCATGTAACACGATTCTGACCAATGACCTATAAGTAGAAGTGCCTTGTGGAATATCCGGGAAGTGTCTTAAAGGAGGAATCTGTTACTACCATGTTTTTTCTTACTTCAGGCATTTACTTGAGGAGCTGCCTTAGAAAATGATGTAGAAACTGTATATTGTGATCAACAGATCATAAAAGGAGAAAGAGCTGGCATTCCTGATAATGTGGGGCTTCAAGACCAGTGTTAGACTGCTTACAATTAATTCAGAATGTTATAAACTTTTCTATTGCTTAAGCCACACTTATTTTGGATTTTCTGTTAATTACAGATTAATTTATCTTCCAAAGCAAAAGTCAGTTGGCAGAGTTGAAATTGTGTTTCAAGTTAGTTATATTGATAAACAATGTGTCATTGAAGGAATAAAATAAATAGGAAATAATGACTATCATAAGAATCTCTTGTCTCAGAAATTGGGCTGAGACATTTTGTTGGTATTTATGAACTTTCTCATTCCACATATGCAAACCTTTTTCTGATTGCACAGTTAGAGAAGGCTTTGCATTAGACAGCTTAGCACTGCGCAGAGATGAAAATGGAAGGGGAGGAAGAATGTAAAACAAAGCCAAAGTGATTGTAATTCCTTCTTGTTTAGAAATTTAAACCATTCGTCATCTGAGTGAATTTTAAATATTTCTTAACCAGTATTACTTTGAACAAAGGAGATGATCTAAGTTTTGTGGAGCCTGAAGCTTAAAAAATGTTTTTATCCTCTTTAAGATAAAGCGAGGATAAAATTATAAATACAACTTTGGGTGTTAAAGGATTTTTTGAAGAGAAAAAAAATGCCAAACATACAAATATTTAACAGCTGTAAAACCTATAAAGGTCACCTTTATCATCTTAGTAGAAGAGAATGATCACAATTGATCATAGTTGATTATAAGTTGTTTTTAATTTTAAGATTTAAGTATTTCAACTTATATTTTTATTAAATCATGAAATACTTATGGTTGTCCTTCTTTTGAGGTGTATTCTGATTTGTATAGTCTCTTTACCAATGCATTTTTTATCAAATTGCCATTTAAAATTTTTAAAAAGTGTTCACATTTCATTACTGTTATTAAATAGATTGTAAAAAATCCAAGAGCCTATTTAATATTTTTTTTGAAATTTATATCCCTGTAATTAATTACTTCATTTAGTATCATCTGAAAAATAAACAAATGTTACAAATACTGTTATCTTTCATCTTGATCACTTTTATGTCACATTCCATTAATATTTATCTAAACTTTTCTGTTATTTAATAAATAAATTTTAAAATGACAAGAGAAAGCAACATACAATAATAAAAATGTGACTAAAAATTTTTAAATTTTTTTTTTAAAAGTGACTAAGTTCATAAAGTTAAGCTGGAGCCATTAAGCCCTTCACAGAATCATCTATTTTGGTAAGATAATCTAAAAACACTAATAATATGTGAAGTATGAAACCTGTAATATAGTTATAAATTTATCCTCACTTTTTGGAATCTAAGTTCAAAAGGTTATCCATATATGAAAGTTTAGAAGACATATTTATCTTATATTTATATTGGTTAAAAGAAATAGTCATTTTATTAAACTACTTAATATTAAATATTTTCTTAATTTTACAAATAAGCGTGATAAAAATATAATAACACTCAGGTCAAAAATTAACACTGCAGCATTGAGATGAATATTTAACCAGTGAGTAAATTTTAAATGCAAATTCCAAAAGAACATAACAAAAATATTGTTCATTTACCATTAAAAAAAACATTTCCCTCACCAAATCTTAAATTATGGTCTCACTTCAAAATCTAATAATGAAGTGTCTTAAAAAAGCACTAGGTGCTCTGTAGTTCTCTTTATCAACACCTAGATAAACATTAAAAGATTGATTCTAATCTGAACAGGGAAGTGTTACTGTGAAATGAAGGTGAACATGTTGATAATTTCATTAAATTCTAATGATATAATTAACTTAAATTCAGAAAATTCAAAAGGCTGGCTAGCCCAGGAGAATTTCTTCTTTTTTTTTTTAAATCCGACCTTTCACCTCTGTTTTACCATTTTGAATCCAAACCAGATTAAAAGCAACCGAAAATTGTTAACACATGATGTTGCTTGATGGTTTATAGGAAATTGGTTGGTGGTCTCAATCACACGGACAGGTATTCACATCATAAAAAAGACCATTAGCGTTTGTAGCAATTTATCTCCTTACATTTAGGCCTAAATGAAACAAAAACATTATTTCAAAACAACAACAACAAATTTTTTCAAGGACAAAAATTGTTTAGATTCTGAAAAACATATATTTCAAAAGAAAACTCTCTTGAAGTATATGTAAATATAAATGTAAATAAATATAAATGAAATAAATGTAAATGATGTTTGAATCACTATAGAAACTCTAAGATTAATAGTGTAATTTCTTTGATAAATAATCTATTCATTTCAAAGAAAATATAATGTTCTGAATTTTTCAGTATTTGGGAACAATGAGAAAAGTAGAGCAGTAGATAGTTGTACAGAATTATCACAAAATCTGTTGTGTATGTACATGCGTATAGATTCCCCAAGAAATGTATTAAAATTTTCTCAACCACTAAAGAATTAAACATAATATTGGCTCATACATCCCTAAATCCAAGTACAAATTCTACACAAATTAAGTTTGAAAGTTATTTTATAGTATATATCCATTTGATAAAGAAGTTTTACATTTAGTACACTTTGTTTCTATAAACGAATATAGTCCTGAAATTCAAGTATAAAATATACTTGAATGAGAGTTTAATTTAAGCCAATTCAATTAAACTAAAACTAGAGAATTTGAAAATCTCAGATTGGAAACATCTTTTGCTGCTTCCTCATGCAACCTCCCTTCTTTCTCATCTGATACATGCATTTCTTTCTTTAACTCGTAGTCACATTTTCTCTACTAAAATACATTTAAGGATGAAGAAATTGTGTTTCATAAAACATTAAATTTCATTTTGAAGTTGCTTCAATGAAGATTTTTCAGTGTATTACGTTGAAAATATATACTCCTATCATATCTATCAGGAAGTCCTAGTTTTGCCTTCTGTGGTGACACGTAAAACCTATATACCTCTTTCCCCTAAAGTAATGTTTTTAATACCTGCCTTTCAAACATAGTCAGCTACTTTCTGTGACTATGTAGCTAACAATGGAGAGCATCAATATAAACCCTGGCTTGTCACCTTCCCCAAGTCTTGTGTTCTTATGACCATCACATGCTGACTTCACAATGCTGTGAAAAAGAGGACAGTGGTTTTATGAAAAAGAAAGAAATAGTTAAGCACATGTTGCAGAAGTACCAGTTTGAAAATACTGTCACAGATTTTTAAGGGGACAGGCCTTGGGCAAAGAGTTTGTTACAAAACCTCAACAGGTTGGCTAGGGGATGGATATAAGTAATGCACAAATTATATGACTAGTTGGGTGTTGCAGGATCAGGGACGGATAGGAAGTTAAACTCACTCAAAGATTTCTGGTTTATCATGTTGGGATGATGTAGCACAATCAGCCACAGGAGGGAGGGCATTTGGCCCATCTTCATGGAGACAGCTCTTCTTTTCAGACTTCTAATACTCAGGGGAGAGGTAGAGCCTATTTTCAAGATGAAACAGAAAGTGGGGAGGTGTCAGAGAGTTGAATTGCAATTTAATACATTCAAAACCTTTAGCAGTTCGAATAGATTCTAGGGTGAAATTCCATCTGAAATTTAACATACTGTGATGAAAATATGAAGTTTTTTTTTAAAAAAAACACTCAATATACTACCCATAGACCAACGAGTTCAGCAACTTTAGGGTAATTTGCAAAATGGTTTTACTGTAAAACGTTTGAGTTGTGGCCATGAATTTCTAATGTGCTAATTAGAATGATAACTTTCAAAATGCAATGGAGTCTTATTGAAGTTTTCTAAGGAATTCAGTGGGTTTTTAGAGATCATATTTGGAATCTTAGAAATAATGATAAGAACTGGAGAACACAAATAAGGGAACAACAGACACTGGGATCTACTTGAGGTGGGAGGATGGGAGGAGGGAGAGGAGCAGAAAGGATAACTATTGGGTACTGAGCTTAATACCTGGGTGATGTAATAATATGTACAACAACCCCCAAGACATGTGTTTATGTATGTAACAAGCCTTCACATGTACCCCCAAACCTAAAATAAAATTGTTTAAAAGTACATGAAAAAAGAAATAATGTGACAAATTTAAAAATTCAGGCTCAGGAAGATTGGGATTTTTCCACAAACACATACCTAGTGAGTAGAAAAGCTAGAAATCAAATCCAGAAAGGTGAGGTGGATCAGATCTGAAGCGTTTTATACTCATGGTTTTATGCCAGTCAGTCACAGATGCTTGAGGTTTTCATATAAAGCCTCATGGCCTCATGTCTGTCAGAGGGTTCTCACCCTGCTTTCCTTTGTAATAAATACCCTTAAAAAAGATCAAAGCATTTTTGGTACCAAACAACATAACGTAATTGATGGTTTTCCTTATTGAACAAAAAGCTTATATACACAAGGTCAAAGTTCTGCTAAGAAAGGCTAACACTTGGGACATATGTATCTGTACTGAGTGGGTCAGTTTATGGGCAAGTTACACCCAACAAAAAACACAATTCTATTGAAAAACATTTTTTTCAGTAAGATGTAGAATTCATCCTACTGAAATCATCTGCATAAAACATCAACATCTTGGGCAATTTACAGGTTATTTAAATTAATACAGGAGCCAGCAGCTATCTCTCGTGAATGAAGTAAGTTTGGTAGGGATAAGAGGGAGAGGTGGGGATTCTGGCAAACTAAACATACCATATTATAGTCAATTTCAGTCATGTGGAAATGTAAGTATTATGTTGCCAGATCTTTCATTTTTTTTTTCAACATCAGTTGGAGATTCAGAATTTAGTTTTGTTTTTGTTTTACATGAAGGGAAGTGGGTGGAAATATACTGCCTTTAAATCTTGTTGACAAATAAACCTTAAAAATATTTTATCAGCCCAACAGACAACTTTAAGCTTCATTGAATCTGGGGTCTTTCAACTTTCAATCTCCATTGTAGTAGTATCAAATATTTTTAAATCTCCATTGTATTTATATCAAATGTTTTTGAGATGGAATATAATGACAGTGAGAGAAAACTTACAACTTTTTCTCAGTAACTTAAATCTCATGGAAGATTGTTGAAAATCAATAAGAATCTACAATAAATAGTTTCAGTACAAAGCAAACTTAATCAGCAATACTGTATAAATATACCCAATATGTTTTGAACTAATGAGATTCAGAAATAGTGTTTGTAAATGCTTTATTTCTTCCCCTTTGATTAAGATACAGGAGCCCACCAATAGTAGCTCTTGTTCATAGCAGTTACCTGGGGAACACATCTTTCAAGATCAAATGCAGGACCACTTCACATACATCTGGGGACAGAGATCAGAAATCTATGCTTCCACACTTGTGATTAACTGCCATGTCTTGGATATTTCTTAATGGGTTAAGACACGGAGTCAGAAAAATAAAACTGAATTATCTATCAGGAACAGAAATCAGATTTCCAGGCTATGCTTGGAAACACAATTATCTGGGTTATGCAGTGAAACAGATGCAGCAAAATGAAAGTGAGACAAAACCATGGTAGCTTGTGTCAGACTGTACAATGCAGATGAGACACAGCGGAGGTCAGAGGGAGGAGGAGGAGAAGAAATATTGGGCTCAGTTTCTGAGACCGAAAGAATTTATAGGCAGATCATCAAAAGATGCAGAATATCTGGAAGGCTTGAATACCTGGCAAGATACAGTGGTGAATCCCCCACCAAGTCTGGTTCACATTAAGATGTGTGTTTCAGCTCGCATACTTCCATCCCTGGCCTAGCAGGACAAGCTGGGTCTATAATAGAGGTTAACACATGGCAATATTTTTATGCCTTCTCTTAATGCTAAGTTCTGAGAAACAGACAACAACTACGAATCTACAAATAGAAATCTAGTTCAGAGGCCAGGGACTGCTTTCTGTCTCTTCACTCTTACTTTTCAGTCCACTATATCATCAGTAAATTTGGTCTTCTAAAACCCTTTTAAAAAACAGTATATCTCATTTGTAGTAATCATGTTGAAAAAAGATATGGTGAGAGTCCAGTCTGGAACTGTTTTGTATGTCTCGTTTATTACTATTTTGAGTAAAAATCTTACTTAAATAACAATCTAGCTAAAATTCTAAATATGATGGCAAAGATAGTCTCATCGTTTTTTGAAGACATTTAATGAACATGTACTATGTGTCATGTACCATTATAGGATTCTGAGGTGAAGAAGCTACAAGTGGTCCCAGGCTTCTTCGATTTCGAGATAATGACAGAGACAGACCTGAAGATAAATGATCATAACTGTGTGAAAAGCACTGTTAACATACATATGAAACAAGTGCTATGCGGGTTCTGAAGAGCAAGCTGATAATTAACCAGCAATTATAGAAAAAATTTACACTTCAGGATTATATAAAATAACAATCCTTCAAAATTGTATTAATTTCCCTTTTCTCCGCCCATCATTCATTATTTGCCTGATTCATTATTTGATATTGATTAATGATACTGAATTTTGTTGCATTATTTTGCTAAAAAGTCCATAACAAAATATCACAAACTGGGTGGCTTAAACAAATGAAATGGAATTGTTTCACAGTTCTGGAGGCCAAAAGTCTGAGATCAAGTTTTTGACAGGGCTGTATTCCCTGTAAGGATATGGGAAGATCAGTTCCAACCCTTTTTCCTAGCTTCTGGTTGTTCATTGGCTTGTAGCATTTTAACACCAATATTCACATAGAATTCTCCGTGTGTGTGTGTTTCTCTGTCCAAATATTTCCTTTTTATAAGGATACCTGTCATATGGTTTTGGGGCCTACCCTACTGTAGTATAACCTCAATTTAACTAGTTACATCTGTAATGACCCTATTTCCAAATAAGACCACATTTCAAGGTACTTTTGGGGTTAGGACTTCAACATGTGAATCTGGGAGATATACAATCCATCCATAACATTTGTCTGAAGCCTGTTTATCTTGTGAAAGGCCTGAGTTCCTTCCAAGGATAGGATACTCTGAATCTGAATTTAAGTGCAAATATTACCAGTTGGATACAGAGCCAGGTGTGTTTTCTGTAAACTGTGTAAATATTGACAATGAGGTCTGTAAGTGATCTGGTAATCTGAATAATCCATATAAGAGAAATAGGTGATTATAAAATAGTCTAAGATCTAAGTTCAGAACAAATGTCCCTAGTAACAGCAAAGTATATACTGGGTTTATGATTTTTTACAAAGTCACTTTAAGATTTTGCTGAAATATTTGTATGTTTTTCAGTTAATCCAGGAATTTGGCAATTCTTTCATGGTTTCTTCCAAAAGAGAATCTGTGGTGATACAAAAACTATTTGATTAGATTTATTCAATCTGGAAGAAGTAAGAATAGGTTCACCACTGCTTAGTTTGGTTTGTCTGACACTAGGCATTACATTGAAATGGTTAGAAAAGTGAGAGAGACACATTGTTTTATTTATACAAAGAAAGATAAACTATGGTTACTATACATAAGTGTTGGTGGAGTACCAAAGAGTGATTGACGTGTGTTAATAAGAAACCTATGTTTCATTGTGATTGATTTATCATATTAAAATACAAGACATAAACTTTGCATTACAACAAAGACATGTTATATAGAGCATGGGACAGCAGTGGCAAGTCTGGGGACAGGGTTGGTAGATGGGGAAACTTGTTCTGGCTATTTTGACATGACTGGCACATTTTAAAAGGTGGCATAAAAATAACAAGATTTGTACATTGTACTTAAGTCATGAAACTTGTATCACTGTGGGATAAATACTTTTTTTACAAGCACATCATTTAGGAAATTAGAGTGTTGGTATAGCTTCTGTGACTTTTGACTCATTGGTCTAAGGTAAAAGATGATAAATTTAAAAATTAGCAGTAGTGATGACATAATCACATTTGACATTTTCATAGAAAACTTTACATCAAAGGGACACATATAGATACTCAAATTTTGATAAGTTTAAGAAAAACAACAACAAGGAGATTAGT
Source organism: Homo sapiens (assembly GCF_000001405.40). Lineage (NCBI taxonomy): Eukaryota > Metazoa > Chordata > Mammalia > Primates > Hominidae > Homo > Homo sapiens. The sequence continues at coordinate 84,566,473 of NC_000007.14, read as the reverse complement.
TAGAAAGGTCCAAAAGGAAAAAGGTAGGAAACTTAAATACATAGAAATACCATATACCCTGTCTAAGGATACATTATCAGAGATTTGTGAACACCAACAAAAGTAAATATGAAGGTTAGATGTTTGAGTTTGGAAAAGATGGAGGAGAAGTGATCAGAGACCACAATACTGATCTTTAGGGATAATGTCAAAAAAAATCACAAGTCACTCCGAAGTGCATAATAAAAGAATTCCCTTTAGACAAGTGACAATTATATCAGAAATGCAAAATCCACTGAAGATTATATTGACCTATTAGACGATGTTGGGAATGAAACATTCCAAAGAGATAGCAAAAAATACAAAGAGACTGAATGGATGCTTTGTGCTTGGCTTGCTTTCCAGGATGATGAAGAAGTATCTACTCTGGAATTACTTCGTACAAAAAAAGAAGGTGGAGAACTGTCAGAGAAATCAAAACAAAGACCTGATTGAAAAAATATGAGAAATTAAGTGGCCATAAATCACTATGTTCAAATGGTCTTCATCTAAAACTTCTGAAAGAGTTAAAGAAGGATGTAGCTAAGCTACCACCAAAAATGTATCAACACCTTCCATCAAAGAGGAGGGTGATGAATGCCCATCAATCTTTAAGAACAGTTCAGTGTTACTTGTAAGGTTAGGTTTTAATAAAAAACATGGTGTTGTCTAGAATTATTCAAGTCTTTAAAAAGGAGTGTATTTGTCCCCTTGTGGAAACTGTGTACTTTTACAATTAGTTGTTTCTGGAAAAGTTTCTCCACACATAGCCTTTCTTTCTTGTTTTGTTTGTTCTGTTGTTGTTTTTATTGTAATTTTTAAGTGTTTCTACATGAGTTTACTACCCTGAACATTACTGAACACTGCTTATTAGACACACACTGATGGGTTACCAAGGAGAGGATTGTAATCCAGCCTACAACAACTCATAGCAGCATTTGTTGGTTGTCAACTTGGTCTGATTGATAAGCAATAGCTTTATTGTTACAACATGTGGTGGCACTTTAGATACTAAGAACCATGCTGAGAAGAGCACAACAAAACCTGCCTGGTAAACTTGATTTTCCAAAGCAATGCATGCAACTACTTTGCCTGAGAATTTTCGCATATCTTGGGAGGGTGGTTGTTTTCAAGTTAGGGCAATTCTATGGTGCCCAAACTAACACAAATTAATAAATGGCTTATTAGCTTGTTAGAGTTTCAGGTGATAAATTCAGCGCTGCCCATTAAACACCAGGCATTGACTGTGCAAGCTCTCTGTTGAACTCTTAGCAGGTGAGCACAAGCCAGGCTTTCCCATCTTGCATCGCTGGTGAACCTCAAACGTGACCTCTCCAAAGGAAGGAGGAGAAATCATTTGCCATGTTTACTTTATATTGAAACTCTTTTTAGATGGAGACTCCTAACTGAGCCGAATGTTCTTAGTTAAGAGTGTGAGATGTGCTGCATGATTGGTGTTTTTGACAGTCTCATGAACAATTATTTCATTTGTATCTTTCAGCCATCACCATACCTAAAGAATAAGTTAATGTGAAATACCTGTGAAGTCAAATGTGTTTCATGATCCATTTTCCTAAACGGTGTGATATTTAAAAACCAGTTCACTTTTTTTTTTTTTTTGCTAAAAGATAAGAAGGGAGCTTATTCAAGGAACATTTCTCTTCTGCCTCTTTCTCAGGATTACACGTATGTTCTATGACGGCAGCGAATACTCACACTGCTGCCTTCTCATTGCAACTATTTCATCCAAGCCATTCACATTTTGTGTTTTGTTTTTATTTGTTTTACTGTTTTACTTAATGGGGCAATTGTCCCAGAGCAATTATGGACATCCTTTTTTCCTTTTATCTGGATTATGTCTCAGTTTCCAAATTATTGCAGAAAAAAAAAATAAGAGCAAATAATTGTGAATGAAGTGGTGAGGAAAAAATGCTTCAGCAGATAATCAGGACATTTGAAGTGGGCACTTCTCTCAATGTTTTTCAATTATTCAATACTTTGAATATCTAAAAAAACTATGTACTCATTCCTCAGAAGAATGTACAATTACATGTAAATATTTTGCTATGCAATTTCAGTGGTTTATAAACCTACAAATAACCATCTCCAGACTAGAAACTTTTGCCTGGCTGATACATTGAGTACAATAAACTACTATTATTTTCAAATAATATTATATTTACTATCAAATAATAGACACCTTGGCCGAGCATGATGGCTCATGTCTATAATCCAAGTGTTTTGGGAAACTGTAGAAAGAGGATCACTGAGGCCAGGAGTTTGAGGCCAGGAGTTTGAGCCCAGCCTAGGTAACATAGCAAGATCCCATCTCTATAAATAAAAATAAATAAATAAATAAATAAATAATTAAAGCAAATAATAGACACCATGAAACCCTCAACCTGTACAGGGATATTTAGCCTGTAAATATCTTAAGCAGATTGCCTACTTTTCCATCAAATGGAGGCAGAAGATTCTTTTCATACATGAGACGTAGTGAAGCTGTTACTAGATTTACAATTAGAACTAGATCTAAATACAATTCGAACTGTAATTAAGTTGCTACAACATGTAGTTCTTCTAATTCTCTAATAGTTTTTTTATTGATAAATTAAACAGATTGAATTAGGTTTTCTCTAAGTCCAGTCCAGACTGGAAATTATATGACCATCTATATTTTACAGGAAAAAGTTCCTGCTGTCATTGACTGCTGACTTAATAATAGGAGAAGTAATACATCAGTTGAAAACATGCAGGAATGGTAGAGTTATATGAATTGGATGTCTGTCTATTTAAAAGTAATTTAAAAAGTTGTTATTTAATTTATATTTTCAGAAGTTTATGTTTTTATATGCTGTTGAGATTTCAGCTTTTTCTATCTTAAATTCATGAACATGATTCCTAGAACATGTATATCTAAAATGTATTATTTTCAGGTAGCTTTGTTTTTTAAACATATTGCAGTTTGCATGCCTAGTGAAAAGGACAGAAAATATATTTTGAAAACTCAATGAATTTATTAATTTTGTCTTCATGATTTCAGAAAAAAAATTCAATTGTTTTGTTTTTCTTAGTTTGTATCTAGTTAGGGAAGGCAAAATATGCAAGACAGGAAGAGCCAGACACTCGATTTCAACTGCCTGGTTCAAATCCTGATTGATCTCTTCACTACCTCTTTGACCTTGAGCCTTCACCACTGTAAATTGGAGCAGCTAATAATAAGGCCTACCTCAAGGGATGCTGAGAGACTTAGATGAGATACATATACCTAGGTAAAGTGTTAGGCCACCAGAGGTGATCTAGAAATGTTAACTGTTATTCTACTTAACTTTGTCATTCATTTACAAAATATTTTTTAAAAGAGGGTTGTAAGAATAAAACTGTATTCATTATGATCGTTTGGCTCTGAGTAATAGAAAACTCTGATATGCATATTTGTTTCTCTCTCCAATTAAAAAAAAAAGAGCCCAGGATAGCTAATCCATGGGTGGGAGTGGGATGCTGGTCCATGGGGCCAGCAGGGACTTGGGCTCCTGTATGTTTTTATCTGCCATCTTCAACTTGCAATTATTACAGCATTGTCCAAAAAGACTGTTCACCTTCAGCCAACATGTCTGTATGCTTACCACCTGTAAGGAGGAAGGGATAGAGAAGGATATGTTACTGTTTTTTAAGGACATTGCTCCTGTTTATATCCTATGGACCAGAATTTAATCATTAATTATAGACCAATCTTAGCTGTAAGCTTTACACTAGGCCTAGCTCCCTTACTGATAAAAAAGTTAATGTATATTGGGGGACAATGAGCAGCTTTGCCACAAAAATTAAATAGATCACTTTTTAATGATCAAAATTAACAAAATTCTTATAAAATATAATTACTTTATGACTTAGACTTAGTGATATATTAAAGCACAGTTTTTTTCTCCCTCAACGGTTATTAATCCCCCTACTTAATAGCTTTATGAACTTTTATATTATATCTTTCTCATTATTCTCTTCATTTTTTATGTATAACTGAAGTAGTTCATCTCTTCAAAAATTTTTTTAATCCCTCACCTTATTTAGATACCCCTTCTATGTAATTCCATACCACCCATTCCATACTCTAATCATAGGCACTTATAACACTATAATTATGAATTACATGCCTATATCCCTTATTCAAATATTCCTTGTGGGCAAGCACTACATCTAACATGTTTTTGTAACCTCAGACTATTTCTGAGGTTTTGTAACCTCAGCGTATTTCTGGAACATAGTACATTCAATCATTACTCGTCGAAAAAAAATAAATCCATGGACTGTGTGAGGAAATTTATGTGCAGTGGAATGTAGAACACTTTGACAATTATTTGATGCATGTAAAAACTAGAAATCAACTATCATGCATACAACACATACTTGTCTAAGCTCTCTAGTTATATAACAGGTCTTTGAATTATTGCTCTACTCTAATGTACCCAAAGGAATACTGCTCCCGATTTCCCACATATTGAGGAAGGTGAGAGCTTTGAGCCATGATTACAATTTAACCTGTATTAATAGTAATCTCAAAATTCTGTGACTCTGTTCTTTTCATAGAGAGTGGACAATGAATCTCTACATTTTCAGCTACTTTCGTATTCCAGACAGGCTGAAAGTGTTTACTCTGAACTCATTGATAAAGGAATGGAACTGACACTCTGACCTGACTGACAAAATGAAGTATTGTCCCAGAGAGAGGATCCTTGCACATTGTAAGACAGTTAGAAAATAGTACTCCTACTCTTATTTGTTTATTTATTTATTTATAGTTTTTATAGTAGTGAGAACACTTAACATGAAATCTACCCTCATAAGAAATGTTTAAGTGTCCAATAACAGTATTGTTAACTACAGGCACAGTATATTGCAATAGATCTCTAAAACTGACATATTTGCATTCCTGAAACTTCATGCCAATGGGTTAGCAACTTCCCATGTCACTCTATCTCCCCAGACACTGGCAACAATTATGCTATTTTCTGTTTCTAATAATTTGACTATTTCAGATACTGCATATTAGTGGAATGTGCCTCTCTGTGTCTGGCTTATTTTACTTAGCATAAGGTACTCAAGGTTCATCCACATTGTCACATATGGCAAAAATTCTTTCTTAAGGCTGAAAATATTCCATTGTATTTATATATCACATTTTCTTCATCCACCCATCCTGCTGATAGACATTAAAGTTGTTTCCACACCGTGACTATTGTGAATAATGGTGCAATGAACATGAGAGTGCATTATTTTGTTGAGATCCTAACTTAAGTTCTTTTGGATAAATACCTAGAAGTAGAATTTCTAGATCATATTTTAGTTCTTTTTTAAAATTTTTTGAAAAAAATCCCATATTGTTTTCCATAAGAGCTGCACCATTTTACATGTTACCAACAGTTCACAGGAGTTCAGTTTCTTAACTGCCAAGATTTGTTACTATTATTATTATTTAATATTAACCATATCAACATGTGTGGAGTGATAACTTGTATTGTGGTTTTTATTTGCATTTCCCTGATGATTAGTGATGTTAAGCATCTTTTCATAGGCCTGCTGGCCATTCGTATGACTACTTTGGAGAAATGTCTATTCAAATCCTTAGCCACTTTTTAAAATAGGATTAGTAGGTTTGTTTTTGTTGATATGATTTTACTTTGAGTTGCAGAAATCCCTTTTTTATTTTGTTAATTAATCTCATTGGATATCTGGTTTGCAAATATTTTCTCCCATTTGATAGGTTGCCTTTTCATTTTGTTGCTTATTATCTTTGCTGCACACAAGCTTTTAGTTAGATGTAATCCCACTTGTTCACTTTTGTTTTTGCTGTCTGTGCCTTTGGTATCATATTTATGAAATCATTGCCAAGCCCAATGTCATGAAGCTTATTCTCCATGTTTTCTTCTGTTACTATTACAGTTTCCGGTCTTAAATTTAAGGCCTTAATTTATTTTGAGTTTGTGTTTTTGCGTATGATGTAAGATAAGGGTTCAAATTAAGTGTTTTTACATTTGGATGTTGTTTTCCCAATACTATTTGTTAAAGAAATTATTATTTCCCATTTTATATTTTTGTCACCCTTGTCAAAGTTCTGTTGACCATAAGTGTATGGATATATTTCTGGGATATAATATTCTGCTCTATTGATCTATATATGTCTATCTTTATGCTAGTACCATACTGTTTCAATTAGTGTAGACTTGTGCTATACTTTGGAATCAAGACGTGTGATGCCTCTAGCTTTATTCTTTCTCAAAATTGTTTTGGCTATTTGGGGTCTTTGGGGCTTCCATATAAACTTTAAGCTATTTTTCTACTGTGAAGACAACAATTGCAATTTGTATGGGGATTGCATTGGTTATTTTGGTTATGGATATTTTAAAAACATTATGCTTGACAATTGATAAGTGCAGGATGTATTTCAACTTGTGTCTTCTTTGTTTCATTGATGTTTTGTACTTTTCATTACACAGGATTGTTCACCTCCTTAGTTAAGGTTATTCCTAAGTATTTTTAAATGCTTTTTTAGATGGGATTGTTTTGGTAATCTCCTTTTCAGATATTTCATTGCTAATGCATAGAAACACAAAAACTTACTATAAAAAACTTATTTTTGTATCTTGATTTTGTATCCTTCAATTTTATTGTTTTATTTGTTCATTCTAAAAGATTTTTTTCATTTTTGGTTTTTGGTGGAGTCTTTGGGATTTTCAATATGTGAGATCAGGTCATCCACAAACAGGGACAATTTTACTTCTTTTTTCTCTTTCTGAGGACTTTTATTTCCTTCTCTTGTCTAATTGCTCTTGCTAGGACATTTATTATTATAGTAGAAGTGACAAGAATAGGCATATTTGCCTCATTCTTGAATTTAGAGGGAAGGTTTTCAGTTTTTCACCATAGAATGTGATGTTAGCCATAGACTTTTATGTATGTTCTTTATTATGTTAAAGTAATTTCTTTGTATACCTAATTTGCTGAGATTTTACCGTGAAAGTGTGTTGAATTTTTCAAATGCTTTCTGTGCATCTATTAAGATGATCATGTAATGTATACTCTTCATTCCTTTAATGTGATATGTTATATTGATATTTATATGTTGAGTCATCTTTGCATCCTAGAAATAACACCTACATTGTCGTGGTGTATGAACATTTTAGTGTGCTGTTGGATGCAGTTCGCTAGTATTTTATTATGGATTTTAAATTCTATATCCATCAGAGATATTGACCTGCAGTTTTCTTTTCTTGTTGTGTCATTGTCTTGCTGTGTTATCAGGGTAATACTGGCCTCATAAAATGAGTTTGGGAGTGTTCCCTCTTCTTCAATATTTTGGAAGAGTTTGGGAAGACCCAGCATTAATTTTTCTTTAAATCTAGTTGTATTTCATCAGTGAAGTTATCTATTTCTTCTTGACTTAACCTTGGTAAGCTATATCTTTCTAGGGTTTGATTCATTTTTTTTCTAGGTTATTCAGAAAGCATACAATGCTAATATTCTCTCATTATCCTTTTTATTCTCATGGCATCAGTTTCAATGTCTCCTTTTTTATTTCTGATTATTTATTTAAATCTCTTTTTTTCTTAGTCTAGCTACAGGTTTTGTTTAGCTTTGAAAAGATAACTACTTCATTTAAAAAACTCAGTTTTGTTTATTTTTTCCTATCGTTTTTGTATTCTTTATATATTTTGCTCTAATCTTTATTATTTCCTTTTTATGCTAAATTTGGGCTTCAGCTGTTTTTTTTCCAGTTCCTTGAGGTTTAAAGTTAATTTGTTCACTTGTGTTCTTCTTTTTTAATGTTAGTGTTTTATCACTATAAACTTTCCTTAGTACACACAGCCTTTGCTGCATCCCATAAGTTTTCTATGTTGTGTTTTTATTTTCATTTGTCTCAAGATATTTTCTATTTTCCATTTTGATTACTTCTTTGACTCATTGGTTGTTTAAATTGTGTTATTTAGTTTCCACGTTTGTGTATTTTCCATTTGTCCTACTGCTGTAGATTTCTAGTTTTCTTCCATTCTGACTGGAAAACATAATTGGTAGGATTTCAGTCTTCTTCTGTTTGTTAAGATTCTTTTGTGATGTAAAATGTGATCTGCCCTGAGAAATGTTTTGTGTACACTTGAGAAGAATGTATACTCTACTCAATATATATGCTACTGTTGGGTGGAGTGCTCTCTACATGTTTGGTAGATCTATCGATTCATGCTTTTGTTCATGTTTGCTGTTTCTGGTCTCCTATTATTATATTGCAGTCAATTTCTTCCTTCAGGTCTGTCAATGATTGCTTTATATATCTATATGTTCTGATGTTGAGTACACACACACACATACATATGCAACATCATAATTATATATATATATAAAATGTCTTTCAGACAATTTTACTCTTGTATCCTTATATAATGTGCTTCTTTATCTCTTGTGAAGGTCTTCTACTTAAAGTGTATTTTGCCTGATCTAAGTCTAGCCACTTCTGCTATCTTTTGGCAACCATTTGCATGGAGTATCTTTTCCATTTCTTCACTTCAGGATCAGTAAACATAAAGTGAATTTCTTGTAGATAGTATATGGATTGATCATATTTTTTTCTGATTAATTCAACCCCTCAATGCTTCTTGCTTGAGTACTTTAATCCATTTACATTTAAAGTAATTATTTATTAGAAAATAATTTGCTCTGGCCATCTTGTTAATTTCTTTCTATGAGGTTTTGTTTTTTGTTCTGTCACTCTTCCACTTATGTGGTGTTCCTTTGTCTTTAGTAGTTTTTTTTATTGATATGGTTTGTTTACTTTCTCTTTTGTGTTGTGTAATTTATATATATATTTTTTTCTTTGTGGTTACAATGAGATTTAAATAAAATTTCTTATAGTTATATGAGTCATTTTAAGCTGATAACAGCTTAACTTCAATTGCATACAAAAACTCTACATATTTATTTCTCCCTTTCCCAAACTTTATGTTATTTTTGTCACAATTTCAAGCTATTTATATTGTGTATCTATTAACATATTTTTACTTACAGTCATTTTTAACACTTTTTGCTTTTAGCTTTTATACTAGAATAAAAAGTTATTTATCCACTGCTATTACAGCATTTTATATATGTCTATATATTTACCTTTACCAATTAGTTTTATACTTTCATATACTGTTATGTTATGGTTTAGCATCCTTTCATTTCAACTTGAAAAAAAATCCCTTTAGTACTTCTTCTAAGGCAGATATAGTGGTAATAAAATTATTCAGATTTTGTTTGCCTGGGAAAATCTTTGTTTCTTTCAATTTTGAAAGATAGTTTTAGTGAGTATAATATTCTTGGTTGTCAGTTTTTTCATTTCTTTCAGCACTTTGAATATATCATCCTTCTAACTACTGGCCTGAAAGGTAAAAATCTGCTGTTAGTCTTACAGAGATTCTTTGTATATGAAAGTTTCCTTTCTCTTTCTGATTTTGGGATTTTCTTTGAATTTGACAATTTGATTTTAATGTGTCTTGGCATGTTTTTCTTTCTTTTTCTTTTTTGGTGCATCTTATTTAGAATCCTTTGAGCTTTCTGCATTTGGATTTCCAGTTTCTTCCACAGGTTTTGGAAGTTTTCAGCCATTATTTCTTTGAGTAAACTTTATGGTTCTTTCTCTCTCTCTCTTGTCTTTTGAAATTTCCATAATGCATATATTGATCTGCTTAATGTTTTCCCATAAGCCCCTTAAGCTTTTTTTCACTATTTTTCATTTCTTTTTCTTTTTGCAACTCTGTCTATAATTTCAAATGACCTGTATTTGAGTTTGTTGATTATTTCTTCTGATTGCTCTAGTCTGCTGCTGAAACTTTTCTATTACATTTTTATTTCAGTTATTATATTCTTCAGCTTCAAGGTTTCAGTTTTGTTCTTCTAAAAATTTTCTATCTGCTTGTTTAACTTCTTCTATTGTTCTTGTATTCTTTACCTGAACTCATTAAACATTTTATAATGGTGATTGCACGTTTTCTGTCAGTTAATTTATATTTATCTGTTTTATTAGGGTTGGTTTCTGGAGTTTCATCTTGTTGCTTTATTGGATTGTGTTTTCTTGTTTCTTCATTTCCTTTACTTTGTACATTGGTATGATCTACACATTGGGAAAAAAAAACACTTCACTCAGTCTTCACATATTTGCTTTGTGCAGAAAAAGACCTTCTTAAATCAGTTTGGCCAGATTATCTGTTGATCTCCCAAATCTTTGTGGTAGACCATACTGCTATCGTAGTTCCCAGCCACCCTCAGGTGTCTAGAGTACAACAGATCCTGCCATTGCTCCAAGATAGCAGAGATAGAAGCCATTCTCTCATATAGAACCCAGAGAGTTAGATCATTGGGTTCATTGTCCAACTCTTTACCTCCCCAGGGAGAAGATAGAATATAAAGTTTTTTCACTCATTCACTCTTCCCTAGGCAGGGGAGGGGGTTGATGGAGGTTGCTTTTGTGCTTGTTTAAACTCCATAAATAGGTACAATTATGTGTCAATTAAAAAGTAAACATAATCTATAAAAAGGTAAAAATAAAAATATTTCCAACAATGAAGAGAGGTTTCAGAGGTGACATAATGTTAAAAGTAAAATAATTTTTAATTTTTTAATAAAAATGCATAGACATTATTTAGCATAGATTATTCAAAAATACAGGGATGAACATATAATTTAAATTCATGAAAGAAACAGTCAGAAGAACTAAAAACAAAACAGTAAAAAGTAGTTGCTATTAAGAAATAGAACCCACGAGTAAGAGGCTGGAGATGGTTGGAAGGGAAATTTTCTGTCTGTATTTTGTAACTTTATACATTGATTTTTATCTCTATTTCAATATAAATGGAATTTTTAACAATAAAATATTCAAATGAAAGAAAAATGAAATTTTAAAAAATAATATTTATTTTCAGTGACCATCAGGCTTCTAGACTGTGATCAGTTCTGTCAGCACTCCGAGAAAAGCACCAGCATGGCACATGTATACATATGTAACTAACCTGCACATTGTGCACATGTACCCTAAAACTTAAAGTATAATAATAATAAAAAAGAAAAGAAAAGAAAAGCAAGACAGAAGCCAGACTCTTGAGCAGCTCCTGAAAAATTTGGAACCTTGGATTTGTGGTTCAACTATTTTCTTTCCAGTGAAAAGCTATGAGCTGAGGCTCTTCTTTAACCACTTACTATATGCAGAGTTACTGAAATGATTTGTGGTGAATGTCCACATACTAGGTCAAACCACTGCCTTTGTTCACAGTAGCCCATAGATGTTTGGTGTATGCTGGGTTCTGTCAGTGCTCCTAGACAGGTGATACAAAAAAGCCAGTTCCTCAACAAATAGCTGAAAAAGGTGGAATGTTTAATTCACAGTCCAGCTTCCTCCCTAGGGAGAAGCTGTGAACTGAGGGGTTTTCTCACAATTGAGTGGAACTGTGCCATGAGTGGGGAATTATAGTGAAAGCATGTATGATCTATGGTGTGCAAAATAACTGAGGCATGACAGGGACTTCATTCATATCTAGGTCATACTCACCAGACATTGACTGGATGCACGACATTGATCATCCAGTCTTGAGAAAACAGCAAGCACAGAATGATCTATTGGGATTCATATTGCATGCACACTTCTCTCTGCCCATGTTCCTTTTTCTCTTCACTCATTTGGGGGCCTTGAGCTCATATTTAAAACATTTTTCTCAAACCTGTCTCCAGTTCTTAGCTTTGGGTTAGCCCTGAAAAATCATCACTTAATCCTTCTAGCACTATCTCTTAGATCTCAATACCCACCCTATACTCTTTTCATACTCCTTCCCTAAACTACTGCAATGCTAATAAAGTTGCAGCCTTAGAACTCCACAGGTTGCTACATTCTCTCAGGTTGTGCCTCTTTTCTTCCTCTTTGAGCTTCTCCTTCCTCTCAGTCCCATGGGTCCTTCCTGTGTTGCAGCCTCACGTTCCCCACAGTGCCGCATCTTCATATTTGAATTTCAGATTTAGAAGTCCTAATGGCAATTTTTCATTCCTTTCTACCCCAAGTGTGACCCAATCCTTCTTTGTAATGTTTAAATTCCATAATTAAAAAATGATAATTTTATTACACTACAATGAACTATCTCTGTGTAACTAAAGACTCTGTAAAACAAAAAAGTAAATCGAATTAAATACACATACACTAGGAACAAATATTTGCAACATATATTATAAACAAATGATAAGATGCTGAACATATAAAAATCTCCCAGAACCTGATAATGGTGGTGTGAGAGGGTGGTACAACTCAAGAAGAAAATAGACAAATATTATGAAGGCAAGTCACAAAAGAAGTATAAGGATATTAAAGCAGTAAACAGGGGGAAAGTTCCCTAAGAAAATAGCAATCAGTAAACAATTTAAAACTAGGAGACTTCATTTACTTCTCATGAGAGTTGCTAGTGTTAACAAGGATTAGGACAGTATAACAGCTCCATACATTGCCAGAAAGGGTGAAAACAAACATGCCCTCTAGAAATGCTGATGTTGGTAACTTTTTATTGCAATGTATTTAAGAAAATTGGGCAGTGTATATATAAGATTAAATCTCAGTGGCAGGAACACTATTATGTATTCTTAATGGCCTGTACTTTTCTGTTTGATCAATTTCATAGGAAAACAAATAGAAAAAATAGTAAATAGGTCCTAAGAAAAAATAAATACATTGCATCTACCAGGCAAAATAACAGTGAGTCTGTAAAGCAGAGTAACAGAAATAATATAACTTACATTGTTCGATTAGGACAGTTCTCTCAAACACTTTAACTTTTAAAACTCGGACTTTTTATTTAGACAGATATTTCCTGAGGCACAGTTGGGAAAATAGCATTTGAGGCAAAGAAAGGGCAGATATTAAAGCTCTGATAACAAAAAGAGTTTGAATATTTCTAGAAATAGGAAGAAAGCCACTTTGGTTTGAGTACAGTGAAAGATGATATGGGCCTGAGAGAAGGTCACCATAGCAAGGAATATTCAATTTATTCACACACAATAAGAAACCAATCAAATGATTTTAAGAAGGGAAATGCAGAAAACAAGTTTATATTTTAAGATTGCATTAGATTATGGGAGGACTAGATTAAAGGAAGTAAAAAGAGTCTAGGAGACACTAAGTTGAAGGTGGTTGTTGTTCTTCAGGAAAGAAACGATGGTAGCGTAGGCAGAAGAATGTGGACCAATCTAAGATATAGTTTGAAATGGAATCATTGAAATGGGAAAGGTTCCCTTATCCCCCTCGCAGGGCATGTGATGGGGATGTGTGGCTTGCTTCTTCAGTGCCCTGCTGCTGAAACCTTTAGGGGAGCATACAGACGGCAAACTGTGGGGATCGGAAGTCACAGCAGTGTCTAGAGGTGAATGTTTACATCTCCTGAAGCCCCAGTGGGTGTGTGTAACAGGGTGCTCTCTTAGTTGCCATCTATAGGCAGCTAGTGTTAACCAGCTCAATTAGACTCCCTTCCTTATCACAAGGACAGAGGGATTCCTGTATACAGGGGTTTCTTGCCTTAGTGTACTGGCAGAATCGGATCACATGTTGGCTTAGAGAATGAGTGTAACGTTTTATTGAGTAGAAGTAGCTCTCAGCAGATCCGGGAGCCAGAAGGGGGATGGTTTTCCCCTGAAGTCAAACCTGACTCTTCTCCAACCACTCTAGCCGAACTCTGTGTCGTTCCACTGGTGAATGGCCTGCCTGAGTTCTGGCATCTATTGGTGTGCTCCTCCCTTGGCATGCTCCTCCCCTGGTGTGCTCCTCTCCACAACCAGCCGCTTGCGTCTTCTTCAGCTAATGTGCTTCTCTCAACATCTTGCCACCTCTGTGCATGCTAGGGTCTCGGATTTTTATAGGCCCAGGATGGGGGCATGGCAGGGTCTTGAGAAATGCAACATTTGAGCAGGAAATACCTGTTCTCACCCAAGTCCGTGGGGGTGGAACCCTAGCCAAGGACCCACCTTTCTCTATCCAGCACTTCTCTTCCCACCTTCCGTATCATTTAAAGGAACTATGCTCTTTCCTTCCCAGCACTCCCATATCTTTGTGACAGACTGCATACAGAAAGCGAAGAGGAGGCTTTTGAAGGGTGACACTAAGCCTTCTCACTTAGGCAAATGTAGAGAGACAAAGAAAACTGAAAAGGAAAAGGTTCAAGTAAGGGGTAGAAAAATGAAGAAAGTCAAGTCACTTACATAGAGAGAGATATGTGTAAACACCCGAAACAGATACAAAACCAAGAAATGATCAAATTATATCTAGCAGTACAATGTAATGTATAGCTTACTTCCTCTTTCAGTATTCTTTAACATAAAAATGTTTACTTGTTCATTCATTTATAAAATTTGAGTGCTTTCTTTGTGTTGTTTCAATTAATTTTGATTCTTTCAAATATATATTCATTTATCAGAATTTTTAAAATGTGCATATTATATTAGAGATTGGATAGGCTATTAGCTACTGTAAACATCTATTGATTCTTTTGAAGAATACTAATGATATTTTACTTGTAATATCTACATCTACATGGCAGAGATTTGAATTTTTTTTTTTTTTTTTTTTTGAGACAGAGTCTTGCTTTGTTGCCCAGGATGCAGTATGCAGGGGCTTGATCTCAGCTCACTGCAACCTCTGCCTCCTGGAGTCAAGCAATTCTCCTGCCTCAGCCTCCTGAGTAGCTGAGACTACAGGCACACACCACCACACCTGGCTAATTTTTGTGTTTTTAGTAGAGATGGGGTTTCACCATGTTGGCAAAGATGGTCTCGAACTCCTGACCTCAGGTGATCCACCCACCTCGGCCTCCCAAAGTGCTGGGATTACAGGAGTGAGCCACCGCGCCTGGCTGAGATTTGAAATTTTTATGTTATGTTTTTTTTTTAATTGAGAAAAGAGAAAGACTTGCAATTAGGTGATATCCAAGAAGATAAATATCATTCAAGACTTTTTTAATCAACATATTTTTCATAACCTGTCCACAGAAGATTCATTGATTTTTAAATCAATCATTTGCTCTTTTAATGATATGACAAAGACTCTGTGCTCTAAAAGTAGGTAAAAGCAATTACAATTATAAAATTAGCTAAGTTTTTGAGCACTTACCATATGTCAGACAGTGCGCAAAGCAATTTAGGAGCCTCATAACAACTCATGTGCTAAGTATTGTTATCTCCATTAACAGATATAGAAATACAAGCAAAGTGGAAAAAAAATGGCGTACTTTGGAAAATAAGCCAAATGAGAATGCAATTGTCTACTTGTAGTTCTACATGCCAGACAGCCAGACCTTTCATAAACCCAAAATTTGGAGGAAGACTGTCCACTAAGGCAATCTTTCAGACATGGAGTAGGAAGTGATTCTTATTTGGCTCCATATTATTGTAAAGAAAGTCATCTCTCTCACCTACGCAGGTTATTTAATAGTAATTTTGGATCCAGGGAATCGAACAAAGACTATATTTTTTTGGTGTCATCATGGCAATTGTATGATAATCATATTTTCATTTCCAAAAGCCAGATTATTGATCTTAACTGAAGAGGGTAGCAAACACGTTAAAACAGACTAAAGTTGTTTCAGAAATCTTATAAGAGGCAATGCGAGGGAAAATACTTAGTATATGGATTTGTTCAAAAGTAAGGCAAGTTTGTATTTACACAAGATGGCTATATTTGAAAACAACATAAAATGATAAAACTATGCATTTTTAACTATTGTGCTAATATGTTTTGCATTGTTATAATGAATACCTGAGCCTGGGTAATTTATAAATGTAAGAGATATGGCTCATGATTCTACAGGCTATACTAACATGACACCAGCATTTGCTCAGCTTCTGGTGAGCCCTCAGGAAACTTTTCCTCATGGTAGAAGGTGAAGGGGGAGCAGACCTGCCAAATGGTGAGAGAGAGAGCAAGAGAACAGGGAAAGAGGTGCCAGACTCTTTTAAACAACTAGCTCTTGCATGAACTAATAGAATGAGAACTCACTTGTTACCACAAGTATGGCACCAAGTCATTTATGAGAAATCCACTTTCATGATCCAAACACATCCTACCAGGTCTACCTCCAACATTGGAGGTCACATTTCAACATGAGATTTTGAGGGTACAAACATCCAAACCATATCAGTTTTCATACTTTAGTCAACCTAAATATGTTATGTTTAATACATCAGTTTCTACTTTATACTTATAGATAATCATGAAAATAACCAGAGGAAAAATGATTCTAATATTCATGCAGTTAAAAACAAAACAAAAATTAAGTGATATAATAGTACTTTGACAAATTATCAAATCTATAGACTTTTAATAAGGAGTAATGTATCTCACTTTACCACAGTAAAAGATTGTAAGTTTGCATTTGTCTTAGGACATCAAAAGCTTTTACTTTTTTAAAATTGAACTCATAGGTTACTATTTACTTCCAATTTTTGAAAATCTCAGAGCACAGAACACTCCACACACACAAAAAAAGTTAGTATTTTTATCTTTTCTCTGTAAGATCCCCTTCAGAATCTAAGTAAGGTTCTTTTCTGCCAAAGGAAGATAGGCTTTACCTATAAAAATGTTTAAGTTGATTTTTCTTATAATATCAGGATCTATGAGATGCTAAATTTGCCATAGTTCCTGTCCCTTTTGCTATTCCAAGCAATGTTTTCAAACTAACAAACTATGGATTTAGCTTATGCTCAGCGATGTCCAAATAGTATGAACAGTCATTTTATCTTATTGTTTGACAGCATTCATTGACCCATATGCCTAGTCAGTTTAAATGCACTATTGCATCATAATATGTAAGATATAACTGTTCCCCTAAGACTACACTGCTAGAAATAAAAGCAGCACATTTCCAAATACAAAAATTATTTTTAAACCTACCTTACTAATAGCATCATTTGAAAGGTATTTGTTATCTTTAAATGAAACTTTTGAATTCTTTATAATGGTATGAAGTCTCTACTATTCTTAAAGGGATCTTTCAGCATTCAGATGACCTTTGTTCAAATCCTAAAAAGTTTGGCTTTTTTTGGTTTTGTCTTTTGTTAGTTTGTACATCTAAACAATTTTTCATTTGCACAAGAAGGGACTAGAGACCACACAGGCCTAGCATATTTTTAGACATTGGTATTCCTTTTAATCTTTACCTTGTAGCTCATATCAAAGCTGTAATTGTTTGCTAGCCAGCAAAATCTAATGGCTCCCTCTGGTCAAAAGCTGTCAACAGCAATCTATCCAGCAGTGGGGGCATTGCCTGAAACAGAAAAAGCATCACATATGGTCGTATTCCTTGGTGAACTACAAACAAGGTAAGGCTTAACATTTTCAAACACAAAACCATTACTAATTCAACATAATAAAACTGGGGCACTAACATATCATTGCTAGAGAATTTTGCTTTTTGGTTCATTACTGTCCTATATGTCAAAGAACATAACAAGATAGTCCAAGTATTTACACTGTTTTTTTTTTCTTCCCTTGATTTCACAATATAGCAATAAGTCTCTCTTAGATGTTAGATCATGATTTATTAGGTGTCCAAAAGCAAACCCGTACTCCAAAATGTATAAAGAAAACAGGCCTCAAATGATCAGTCCAGATTTCCTGCTAAGTGTAAAGACTGCTAAATTCATTAGGAAATCTAACAAAGAAAAATACTAAGATTTTTTTTATTTGCTCCAAAAACTGTAAAGTTCTGTTTAGAAATTTCTGAGGTAGGTGGTTTATTTAACATTTGTATTATCACAATAGTATTGTATAATCCTACCAACACGGTTCAGTGTAATGACTCTAAACATCAAACCAGCTATCGAACGTCATGCTGAGTTTCCCATCCAGACTAATTAGAATTCTTGTCTTCTTAAAACATTTGCACTCTTGGCATTCCAGTGGTTTTTCCACTTGTGGCTGAGCCTTTTGGATATTTCTAAATGAGAATGAGCTGCATGCTGCTAGCTTTACATGCCTCTTGGTTCCTTCTGCCCTCTCACCTGAATGTCAGAAATCTTTTAGTAATTCTTCATAATGAAATCAAAGAAAGTTCCTCTTAGCTCAGTTTAGAGGAATCCTAATGGAAGCAGCAAACTAAAAACAGAACATTCACCCAGTAGTTTTCATATATTCTAGAATCCCCTCTTTGCTAACCCACTTAATATAATATATAATGTAGGATGGATTGTGGATTGTTCTCTTATTAGAAGCAAAATAATTCACATATAAATAAGCTATGCTGGACTTGATGTACTGCATAAAATATGTGTTCAATTTCAATTCATATAAAAGAATGATAACATAGAAGTAGACTTCAGGTAATAAAAGGAAGAAGAAAATAGTCTTGGATCAGTAGAAGAGGAACTCATTTTGTACACATTTGACATGAAGAATAGACAGCGTACAAGGTAAAAATAAGAATTTGTACTGCTCTGTGTCTATTATGAGACATAATAAGGCTCTCAAAGTTCCTGCAACAGGAGCATATGGTGTGTGTTTTTGCTAACATTTTTCTAATGCAAAAACTTCCATGTACCACTGGTAGGAAATTCATTCCCCAATATAAAGTTTAGACAACTCATTAAATGCTGTTGTGTCCTTTTGTGAAAGTCTTCAAAGCATATATGCCCAATTCCATTTCAGAGATTATTATAAGCCACTGATGAAAAGTTTTATTGGAATCTGCCAT
Source organism: Homo sapiens (assembly GCF_000001405.40). NCBI lineage: Eukaryota > Metazoa > Chordata > Mammalia > Primates > Hominidae > Homo > Homo sapiens. The sequence goes on along the minus strand of NC_000007.14, from coordinate 84,547,721 downwards.
TGGTTTAATTAACACACTAATTCATCTCAGAGCTGAACTAAAAATTGGATAAGTCTTTAGTAAAATTCAAATGCAAAAGGATGGCTTTGGTTAAGTGAAAGCATGATAACATATTTGGTATTTTGTCTGCTTTCCTGACACATATCGCCAAGGTTCAGTGGACTGGTAGTATGTTTTGTTCATTATAACATCTTCAAGCATTTCTAAGATGTCTGGGGTTTGGCAAGCTCCAAAGATACCTTGCCAAGCGCATTTTCCACTATTATTTACACCTGTATATATTTTCAAGGAAACAGTTTGAGTGTTTCTGATTAAATAGAGCTATTGAATGTACAAATGGCCCCATTTAATACACTATAAGTAACTTAATTCAGTTTTTTGGGGAAAACTAAAAAATAATTTACATTTGCTAATAATCTAAAATTTCATAGATTTGGATTGTATCTAACCTTAAATCAAAATATCATTAAATCGTAGAATTGAATAAGACACATTATTATCATGCTTAGCCTCCACGCCATTTTCCATTCATTTTGTCATCTCTGTCCAATTTACCATATCTCATCCTATGCAAGATTTTAAGTACTTGAACATGTGTATGTCATTTTACTACCTATGCTTTCCTGATTACCTTTTAAGTAATCTAAGTTGGTAATAATAGTAATTGTTCACAGAGAAATACAATTCCTCTTGCCAAAAACCATACCAAATATTAGGTGGAATTTTTTATGTACTTTCCTTAGGCACTGATGTATAAAATGTTAAATAGTATATTAAATATAATGTGTAACTGTGTATAAGTATATATCACATGATACTGCAGGTGGGCAGGGAAGTGCTGGGTAGAGAAGGGTGGGTCCCTGGCTAGAGCTCCACCCTCGAGTCTGTGCCCATGGACCTAGGTGAGGACAGGCACTCCTATTTTCATGCCCAAATGTTGCATTTTCCAAGACCACCCTGGCCCGCCACTCCCCCATCCTGTGCCTATAAAAACCCCAGGATCCTAGTGGGCACAGACACAAGCAGCTACATGTCGAGAGGAACACACTGGCAGAACACATCGTCAGATCCTGGAAGGCCATCCATAGCGGAACGACGCGGACGCCGAGGGGAATTCTGCAAAAGGACAGTCTGGCCGCTGGGCGGCTCAATTCCAACTTCTCACTCCATCCCCTGCTGTCCTCCCCATTCAGCTCAATGAGAGCTACTGAGAGCTACTTCCAGTCAACAGAACTTTGCCCTCATTCTCCAAGCTCCTGTGTGATCCGATTTTTCCAATACACTAAGGCAAGAACCCAGGATACAGAAAGCCCTCTGTCTTTGCGAATAGGCAGAGGTTCTAACTGAGCTGATTAACACAAGCTGATTAATGCAAAGGAGAAACAGATTCCAGTTGACCATTTTTAGAGTCTTCTAAGGAAAGAGACAACACAGGCTTCCAGAATATATATATATATATTTAAACCCACGATGATCTAAACAAATTTGAAGTGCTGGCTCCTGAATTAGTTTATTGAAACTTATCAGCATCTCCTCTATCAACATTTCTTTTCTTTTGAAAGGCACCGCACGTTACTTTGTGGGAACCTATGGACAGTGTTCTTCAAACTGAGAGACATGTGTACCCTGGAATACCTACTTACCAAGGGTGGAGCTGATATGGACAATTTTTAGGCAGTCACTTTCCAGCTCATATTCTCATTTTCATAGATACTATTTGCAAAATCTATTTGCCTGAGAAGACACTTGCTGTAAAGCTGTTCTGTCAGTTCCCACACTTTCTGACCAACTCCCAGCCATCATTCATTCTCACTTACTTTGTACTACTAAACAAAAAAACAATGAAATTCACTGTTGCCTAAGAAGCATCCTTTAACTTCTAACACGTGTATGAAAACTAAGACATTGGACAGATCTTGGTCATGTCAATTTTTAGACTTCCCCAAAATTGAGGATGTGCATGACTTTACTGATTGGGTAACAAATGCTTTTACAATTCAAGTGCTTTCCAATATTTGCTTTCAACAAAATTGAAAGATGGTCAGATAAGGTTGTCAGTTAATAAATCATTAAAAGCAATGTTTGGTAAATGATCACAATACAGTTTTTGCATACAATAGAGAAGGGATTTAGATAATTAAGTGATATATCTATGGTAGAACTCCTTGAATTCCCATCTATTTATTTATTTGAAATATGAAAAATGTTAGTAACTGCTGACATTTCTGAAAATAAAAAAGGGAAAACAATTAAGGCTGCATCTTGCATGATTTTAGAAACAAGTCATATTAACCCATGCATGCATAAAATAATTAGAGGGGAAATATCCATGCTCTCATTAAAAGGTGAAAAAATTGTTAAAAATTATTTATAAAAATATGTACAATATATACTCAATTATTCTAGTAAAATTGAATACAAAAATATTTTTGAAACTCATAGTTTACAATTATCAATTTAAAAAATTGTTCACATATTTTTGTTGAATGTGATCTTTTTTTTTTTTGCAATTTGCTTTGTCTGCCTAGAATAAGGGAACAAGTAAAAAGAAAAATTATTTAAATCATTCATTTGTCATTAAAATGTCTACTGATTATATGATGATTTGATATGATTTGATATAATAAGTATTAATACTTGTATCATTATTAAGGCAAGTTTAGACCCTTACCTTAATAACAATATAAGTATTAACACAATTTTAAAAATAAAAGTAGATGAAAACAGAAAGCTACAGATAGTTTTTTTAAAATTAGGCAACTATAATTCTAGTTGCCGTAACATATTTTCAATTTTTTATCTTATAGTTCGAGTATTATTTTTATAAAATATGTCAATCTATATTAAATAATTCATTGATAAATTTTATTTTTAAATTATAAATAAAGTTTAATTAATTAAAATTAACTAATTAAATTTGGATGTATTATAAATTTTATTTCTACAAATTTCAAGGAAAAATGTATGACAGAGAGATGATCTGTGTTAACTTGTTTAGTGACAAATTATAGTACCATTAATGGTGTGTCAAACCGATATTACATAAATTCTGCTATGATGTACTGTGACAGATATAATTTTATCAGTTTTTATTCTAGTCAAAAATGCTTCATTTGATTTTATAAAGCTTTTTATATTTAACTTCTAGCAAAATGAGAAATAAAGTAAAATATCTCAAAAGGAAGCAAGCAGACAAACCCAAGATGCAGGACATTCTTCTGGACAGCTGCTTCGTTAACTTCAGCAAGTTCATATGATTAAAACTGGTACCCTATAATAGATATTCCAGAAATAGCCCAAATTGTAAATATAAATTTGGTGTAAGACAAAGATGAGACTTCAAGTCAGTGAGTAAAGTATACTAGTTTTGAATAATTAAGATCTTGTGATGAAATAGCCATGTAAGAAAAATAAATAAATTTTGTTCCAGTTCTTACCTATTATGCCAGAATAAATTTTAAATGGATTAAAATCTAAAATTAAAAAACTATATACCAGTGCTAGGTAAAAACATAGGTTAATTTCACTGTACATCTAGAATGGAGAAAATTATTCAAACTATGACAATTTATAGACAAAACAGTAGACAATATTGATAAATTTGTTCATATAAAATTTGTAAATGCAAAAAAAAATCAAAGTGTAAAAGGCAAATGAGAAATTGGAAATATGTAATGCACACAACAAAAAAAGGTAGTATATGAAACATATTAATATCTTCTAAAAATAAAAAAAAGCCTTAACACTATAGAAAATAAGCAAAATATACAGATAGGTAAAAAAGAATGAAAATATAAATGTCTTTAAAGATATGAAAAAATGTTCTGCTTTGTTCATAATAAGAAAATTGCAAATTAAAATACTCTGTGATCCAATTTCTTACATATTGAATTGGCTATAATCCAGAAGTTTGACAATGTCCTCTGTGGGTAAGGATGAATAAAACAGTCTCATACACTGATGATGAAAATGCAAAATGTTCAAAACCACTTTGAAGGGAAATTTAATAAAGTCTAGCAACATTTATGCCTTTGTCTGGTGACCCAGCAATCCCACTTTGAAGAACATGTCCCAAAGATATACTGACAAAAATATGAAAAAGAGAACAATATGTACAATGCCACTTATGCTGCAATATCTGAATTGTAAAAACTGGGAAAAAACAAATGCACATTACTATGATACGGGAGTTGCTTGAATAAACACAGTATAGTAACACAATAGAAATCTAGATAATACTAAAATGACAAACGGAATACCTCAATAAACTACTAAGAAGTTTTCTCCAATATATATTGTTAGATATAGAAAGCAAGTTCAAGAAAAATGGGTATAATATGTGATTGTTTAAGAAAGAGACAACATATGCAGGATATTATATGTAAATAGCAAAATGTTAGGATATAGGCAACATGTATTGACTACGTTAATATATGCATATGTATATAGGTATGTTAAAAGCTGGAAAATAATTTTAAATTTAGAAAATGTACAGATAACGACCGGGCATGGTGGCTCACACCTGTAATCCCAGCACTTTGGGAGGCTGAGGCAGGTGGATCACCTGAGGTCAGGAGTTCGAAACAAGCCTGGCCAATGTGGTGAAACCCCGTCTCTATTAAAAATGCAAAAATTAGCTGGGTGTGTTGGCGTGTGCCTATAATCCCAGCTACTCGGGAGGCTGAGGCAGGAGAATCGCTTGAGCCCGGGAGGCAGAGGTTGCAGTGAGGCCAGATCGCGCTGCTGCATACCAGCCTGGGTGACAGAGTGAGACTCCATTAAAAAAAAAAAAAAAAAAAAAAAAATATATATATATATATATATATATATATGTGTATATATATATATATATATACACACACACACACACGTATATAAATATATATACACACACGCATATATATACAAATATATATACACACACACACACACACACAGATACCTATGGCACAAGGAGAGACAAAGATTAGAGGGAAAGAAATAAGAGTTGGACTTCTCCTACTGTACTTTGTTTTGTAGATTTTTATTCTATATCCATGTAAATGTTTTGCATAATTCTAAAAAATATTTTAAGTGGGGAAAAAATAGCAATTCTTAAAACCTGAAACAAAGTGAAGCAAATTAAACTATGTATTGAATTGATGATAAAACCACACATAGTGAAATTATTCCAAATGCCTTTAAAACATGATAATTTGACTGTACACCCCTATACATACAGCACAAGTACAAAAACAATTTTAAAAATATTAATATACTGTATTCAATAGATATTTTTAGTCTACTATATGTTATTCATTATATTAATACTTTTATTCTGACACATGTAATTACACATACAAACACATGTACAGGAAATGTGTGTGTACATGTACATATCTTTTTAGATACTTAAAAAACCCATATCCACATGTTTACATATACATAGTATGTATATTGATGTTATTATGTTATATTTTTAAAAGAGCATCTTTTTGCTTTATTGTTGTTTATAAATTTTTTAATTTTCATTTTCATGAATAAATAATTGTACATATTTATGGCATACATGTGATAATTTGATATTAGGATACAAGGTGTAGATCAAATCAAGGTAACTGGAGTATTGATCTCAAGCATTTGCCGTTTCTTTGTGTTAGGAACATTTTAATTCCACTGTTTTAGTTATTTTGAAATATACATACATTATTTCTAACTATAGTCATCCTACTGTGATACCAAACACTATTTCTTATTCCTTCTATCTAAGTACATTTTGTTTCCACTAACCATATGCCTTCATCCCTCAACCCCCTGCACTACCTGTCCCAGCCTCTAGTGACCATCATTCTATTCCCTAAAAGAGCACCTGTCTTACAGAGATATAACTGGAGTTTTACAGATAAAGTGATAGGAGGCCAGGTGCGGAGGCTCACGCCTGTAATCCCTGAACTTTGGGAGGCCAAGGTGGGCGGATCACCTGAGGTCAGGAGTTTGAGACCAGCCTGACCTACATGGAGAAATCTTGTCTCTATCAAAAATACAAAATTAGCTGGGCGTGGCAGCGCATGCCTGTAATCCCACCTACTCAGGAGGCTGAGGCAGGAGAATTGCTTGAACCCGGGAGGTGGAGGTTGTGGTGAGCCAAGATTGCGCCATTGCACTCCAGCCTGGGCAACAAGAGCAAAACTCCATCTCAAAAAAAAAAAAAAAAAAAAATGATACGATAATATTAAGACTAGGATTTACTGCAAATAATTTAGTTTTGTTTTATGCAGGGACAGAAAGTGTGTCTTTGGGTTAACATATGTTGAAATTAGTTGATGAGTGCACAGGGAGTCATCCTATTCTATTTTATAAATGTTAGAAATTCTCAGTGATAAAACATTTCTAAGAAGAGACAGTAGAAAAACATCCTAAATTAAGAGGTTTAAGAAATGTCTAATAAAGAGGAAAGAAGATTAAGAAACATTAAAAGCAGAAACAATATTTTGTCTGGAACTAGCCACTGATTTGAACATTTTGGAGTCCATTAAGATAATTTAAATGTAAATTATGTATTAAAAAGTTATAATTTTACAGAAATAGAGAAATGAAAATAGATGCTGGTGAAAAAAAAACAGGTCACAAGAGAATGTAAGATAAGATCAGAAAAAGAATAAAATATAAATACTTATATATAAAAAGATCTGAAATTCAATATACTAGTTATGCTTTTGATTGGGAAAATATTAATTTTGTTGCTGAATTTATTTTCTACAATGTATATTTATTATATAATAATAGTAGGAATTTATTTTATTTAAAAAAACAAATTCAGTTTTTCTCAATTTTTTCTATACTAGAGTCAGTGACATTTCTCTTTTACATAAATGTAAAACATTATTATAATCATAAAATTATACCCATTTTCTTTCATTATATTTGAGAATATAAATTCTTTGTATTAAACAAAAAACATTTAAGAGAAACAGTATCAAATTGAGTCAAAACTGAAGTCTTATTACTTTATAATTTTAAATATGTAAAATTTCTCAAACTACTCTTTGTTGAAAGGCTGTGATTTTCTTGAAGTTAGTTTATCTTCTACCAAATGCCACTTAATTCCATACTTATTTTTAGTCATGCAAATAATATTTTCTATGGGGCATAACTGGTGATGCACATGGAATTTTATATCTGCTTGTACTTTTCTGTGTAAAATAGAAAATACATTTTGCATTTTATGTAAATGGTGAAAAGAACTTCATCATTGCTAAGTGATTTTTAAAAGTACTTTTTATATACTTGTTACTATAAAGACATACTCAGCGATCCAGCTCACACATTACCTTATTAGACCAACACAATTTATTACCATAGTATATCCTGTATATTTTAAGCTAAATTGCAAAGTATGAGGATAGTTGACAGGAATTTTACATGGTCTAGTGACATACATGCTAAGAAAAAAATGACATATTCTGGAAGATGGAGATGTGCTTCCCTATCTAACAATTTCCTTCTTTCAATACATTTTTCTTTATTAAAATTACTCATTAATTTGTGTTATGCCTATCATGTCTTGCCCTTCAGTTTCATGGCCTGCTTCTTGCATATCACTTTCAAATTAAAATTGGAATTAGAAATGTATAAAGGGTGTGTGTGTGTGTGTGTGTGTGTTTGTGTGTTATCTGTAATAGTTACTAATATCCCCATAGTTGTAAGTCTAAAATGAATTTTAAGTACCAGTCCTTTGGCAGACTGACTGACAATGTCTTTTCAGTCAAAAAGAGTAGTAAGGTCTTTTTCATCTTGTTTCTCACCCTGGTAAACAATACCTCTTGGTTCTTTTAGGATTGGCTGCATTCATTGTCATCAGTTGTAGCATATGTTATTGGAATTTCATTCTGCTTAAGGCTTCTGCATGTTTGAAAAATTATTAGGTTTCTGTATTGTGATTTAGATGAAGGTCATTTTGGCCGTAAGTTTTTTATAGAGACTTTGAGGCCCCAGGTTTACTACTTACTAAACAGTTCTAAATAAAGTATCGTTTATACAAATTACATCTTAGAGAAAAGTGTGAACCTTATAAAAATGCTGCAAGTGATTTTAATAAAGGGGGCTACAAAAAAGGGAAGCTATAACCTGCCCCTCTTTTCACTCTGACCTCATCTGTTGTAAATGAATAAAAGCACAAATTGGGTTTTATGCTGAACACTTTAAAGTCAGTAGTGGTTTAAAGTTATAAACAAATGAAAACCAGAAGGAGACTGAGAAGTTATGCGAACCTGTGCACTTGAAGATGCAAGTTTCTACCAGGTAATTATAGTGAGAAAAGTGGTGACAAAAAAATAAAATAAAATAAAATAAAATAAAATAAAATAAAATAAAAGAACTATTCCAATATTCCCAATCACTTGCTTGCACTTTGGAGTCAGTCTGAATAATTCATCTTGGGTCTAGGCCAAATGAAAGCTAGAACATAATATTTAAAAGTTTTTACAAAGCTACACTTATTTTTAAGGACTTTTTAATTATTTGTCTAAGAAGCTTTTCTACCCTTTCTGGTGTTAAAATACCCTTTCTTTTGCTTTTGTGAAATGATTATATGTAGAGGTCCTTTTGTTGTTATTTTTTAACTTTTCACTTATCCAAATTACAAAACTTAGTAGCTATAATGAATTAATATTTATTTTTGAGATGTACTAAGTGAAATTTAAAAGTCAGAGAACCACAGAATTGGTCTTTTTACTGATATATAAGTCTGGTACCCAATGTTAAACTTGTGTCTAACCTCTCTGACATTCCCAGTTGAGGTTATTAGACTAACATGTGAAATATAAGGCATGGAGGATTGAGTAGCTCTACCACTGAGAAACTCAAGAACAGAAAAGGAAATGCATTTAAGGGTATGGTTTCCTTCACTTGGAAAACCACCCTATAAATTCCCATATTTTTTAAAGGCCCTACTTATTTGATATTTGTATTCTTAGGTCTTCCAGGCCAACCCTCTTTAAGCTAAGATTCACCTCTCTGTACCACCCAGATATATATATATATATGCTTTTTTTTTTTTTTTTTTTTCCTGAGACAGAGCTTGGCTCTGTCGCCCAGGCTGGAGTGCAGTGGCAAGATCTCGGCTCACTGCAAACTCTGCCTCCCGCCCCCCAGATATTTTCATAAGGAATATATGCTCTTTAAAAACAGCTTGGCTTGAAGTGGACATTTATCAATTCAACTGTTGCTGAGCCAAAGTGTGTTTATCTTACTCACTGCCCAATTTGGTTCTTGATTCCAGTTACTACAGAGTTTTCCTATGTCTCAGCTCAATGGGAAAGAAGAAACCATTCCAGAGCGGTCACACCGGGCTCTGTCTGTTGGCCTTGTTTTCTGCCAAAGTGTATAAACAGGGCCTCTAGATTTTAAATGTTAACTAGGATCTGGTTACTAAATTCAGACCTAATCCTTTTTCCTACTAATTTAGGATAATGGAAAAAAAACACCTTGGTTTATATTATGAAGATTCATGTAGCATTACAGCTCTTACAAGATCTACTATCAAATATATTAAATAATTATGAATCTTAGAGAGAGGGCAGGAAAAGTTTAATTTTTAAGAACTGATTGGAGGATTACCTTGATGGGTCTTCAATTTGTGAAAAAGCAGTTTTATGTAAGTGCCTAGACTAGAGAAGCTGGCTGAAAATGAAAATGTAAAGAGGCGGCCTGGCACGGTGGCTCACGCCTGTAATCCCAGCATTTTAGGAGGCCAAGGCGGGCGGATCACCTGAGGTCACGAGTTCGAGACCAGTCTGACCAACATGGAGAAGCCCCATCTCTACTAAAAATACAAAATTAGCTGGGCATGATGGTGCATGCCTGTAATCCCAGCTACTCAAGAGGCTAAGGCAGGAGAATCGCTTGAACCCGGGAGGCAGAGGTTGCGGTGAGCCCAGATCGCGCCATCGCATTCCAGCCTGGGCAACAAGAACGAATAATAATAATAATAATAATAATAATAATAATAATAAAGAAATGTAAAGAAATGTGTAATTTGTAATTTTCTATGAAGAAATATACAGGTGCCTGGGATATTGTGAATTCAGAGATGGCCCCAGAAGTGAAAATAATATTTTTTCAGTTGTGGAACTGACCTCACATTTTTAAGGGTAAAGAAGGCTGTATAATGTACCAATTTAAATTACGTGCTGCTCATTGATGCAGCACTATTTCTTGTACACCCACTGTGTTTCTGTTACTCCTCAATCTTTAGTAGAAGTCTCCTACTCAACAGCTGGGTGGAAGAGGGACTGATTTGGGTGACATGAGAGGAAAGACAGAAACAGCCATATGTAGAAAGACTTGAGGGAGATGAAGAGTTTGCTGTGAAGCAATAAATAGGGACCACATATGATCAGGCACAAAAGTTCAAGCCCCTTACTAGACCCAAGGCATGTTGACGGGAGCTGGGATGTGAAATGGTGTTTCAACCTAGTTGATACTTAGAACAAAAAGGACAAGGTAACTTTAACATCCTGGGCAACCTAAAAGAATCTGTGGCACTAATATATATGTTTCTGGCATTACATACAGAAAAAATAAATGCCACTTATAACTTGTTTTAAACTGTGTTTTTTTTTTTGTTTTTGTTTTTGCTTATATTTTTGTTTTGCTTGTTTTAAAATTTCCTGTATGTTTTCCTTTATCAAATGGGGTTTACTGACTCTTCTGTTTGGTTTCATCAACCTCAAACCAATAAAATTATTTATTTTTATTTATAAAAATTCACTGTTAATGCCAACAACAATATTCAAAGACTATATAAATTGTAGCAGGCACTGTACCATTATTGCAATTTTTGTTAAATATGATGATAACTTCCATCTGGTTTACCAAAAGTCCAGGAATTTGAGGAGTGCTGTGGTCTGAAAGTGTGTGTTGCCACCAAATTGATACATTAAAATCCTATCCACTAAGGAGATGATATCGGTAGGTGGGGCCTTTGGGAAGTATTTGGGTCATGAAGACAGAGCCCTCATAAATGTGGCAAGATCCCTCAGCTTGTTTGCAAGCTGAATTTATGTGAGGACTAAGTAAGAAGGCACCATCAATGAACCAGTAAACAAACCCTCACCAGACACCAGACCTGCTGGCTCTTTGATCTTAGATTTAGAAAAGTGAGAAATCTATTTCTGTTGTTTATAAGCTATCTAGTCCATGATATTCTGTTTCAGCAACACGAATGGACCGAGACAAGGGTCAGGAGAGCACTGGAGCATGTCTTCTGTACCAGGAAAGGCATAGGTATTTATGAAGGGCACAGCAAGGATTTAGTTGTGTCTGTGCAGTACTTCTCAACATTCCTTAAATGTCATGGCAACTCAGAAAATGATTCATTTGTTGTTTACCTTGCATACTTGGGTAAACACAAGAGGATTGTCATGACACCCTCCTGAGACATCCTAGATCTCAAACAACAGACTCCAAAACTAAAAGATAAATATTTGGGCATCCTAAAACCCATTTTTGATGTACCAGTTAAATCCCTTGAACAATTTCAGCAGACTCTCAATATTGACACACCTTAGGATTTGATATTCTAAAGAAACCACATATATACTTGCAGTGTGGCCTTGTGCCTAAGTTTGTCCTTAAGAAATGCCTTAGCCCAGCAGTATAGACAGACTAATGAGTTAGTGTTTAAAACCAAGACAGAAAGAATTCTCTTCTTAAAAGCGAAGTTGCAAGTGAAACTATTCTCATCCCTATAAACAGAGCAGTAACTGTTTTGTGGTGCTTTCTAACTATAAGCAAGTGAATAAATAAGATCAATTCTTAGGATGATGATTCCCTGGAAAAAAATAAAGCAGAGCAAGGCATTCACAAGTGACTGGGGTTCAGAGCCTGCTTTAGATTGGACCGACATGACAGGGCTGTCTCAAGATCAGCTGAGACTTGCATGATTCCAAACAGTGGTGTATTTTATGGGGGAATTAATTACCTTCCAGCCCAGGACACAGCAATCTCTGGAAGTGGAGATAAGCTCAGCATAGTTAATGATGAACAGAAGGAAGGCTAATGTGGCTAGTGAGAGGGGGAAGGAGTGGTAGGAGATGAGGCGAGCTGGGGGCACATCATCCAGCATCACAGTACAACTTTGGATTAAATCCCAAAATTAGAGGGCTTGCAATTGGTAAACTGAAATAATCTGATTTACATGTTTAAATGATCACTGTGTGGGAAATGAATTGTAGAGAAGCAAGAGTGGAATAAAGGAGACAGGTTAAAAGACTATTAGAGCAATTGAGGCAAAAGGTGATAGCTTAGACCAGAGTGGTAGTAGCAGAAATGAAGTAAATTGAATAAATTTTAGATGTATTTTGAATAATGTATCTTCCAGAATCAGAAAGTCAAAATCGTTAGAGTCCTAGAGTAAAAAACAAACTGAATCAAAGCACAGCACAACACACACACACACACACACACACACACACACACACATACACACACAATTGAGAAGTGTTATTTGGGTTGAGTGAAAGGCAGATCAGTTTTAGGATTGACTCTCCCACCATCGGACTTTAATTTTTTTTTTTTCTTAATGGTTTAAAGACTCCCAGATACATCTTGGTGGATGTAAAACCTACAATCTTGTCACATTGGTCATCTGTTCATTCTTTCTCTCTAAGGAACAACTGCTTCTCTCCCATTTATCATGTTTGTCATTATGACACAGCTATAGGCAATTCTCAGAAAACAACATTCTCATTACAGGCATGCCCCACAGAATATATTCCTGGTTTATACTCTCCTAGTAGAGTATAAACACACACACACAAACAATAAAACTCCATTTTAATAACTATATTCATAAGATAATGGTCAGGAAGTAGCATTTTAAGTACATATTTTATATATTTACATGGTAGTGTATTTCTTACACGAAAGTGTTTTACCATGTTTTAGTCATATGGTATCGCCTGAGAGTCTTGGTTTATACATGTAGCCTGTTATCATTTTTCCAACTTAACAGAAAATACATCCTGTATTAGGCTGAATAATATTCTCTAGATACTATAATAAATCCTAATTTCTGTAACTTTTAAATGTTTCGCTATTTGGAAAAAAGGTGTTTGTAGATATGATTAAGTTAATGGTCTGGAGATGAGGAGGTTATTCTGAATTATCTGAGTGGACCCTAAAGGCAATTACATGTATCTTTATAAAAGTGAGGCAGAGGTAAATTAGACATGCACAGAGAGGAGAAGGCTGCGTACAGGGAGACAGAGGTTGGATTATATGGTCACAAGCCAAGGAATGCTGATAGCAACCAGAAACTGGAAAAGACAATAAATGGATTATCCTGTAGAGACTCTGGAGAGTGCAACGATGCTAACACCTTGTTTTAGGTCCAGCGATACCGATTTCAGATTTCTGGCCTGCAGAACTGTGGGAGAATAAATTTCTGTTTTAAGCCACCCAGTTTGTGGTAATTTGTTACAGCAGCCACATGAAACTAATATAGGCCCCCAGTTAGTATTTTCATGCAGAACCTCTGAATTTTCAAAAATGGATTCCTAATGTTCAGGAAATGATGTGATGTATATATTTCTGTTTCTTGGATGAAAGTCTACTTTTATAATGTATATGTTTTTATGGACCCTCTAGTTGATAAACTTCAACCACAACTTCTTACTCTGCATTCAAAAATGAACCTGTATTACTAGGTTCTGTTGTGAACATAAACCCTTGATCCAGAATTTTTTGAGACTTTGCTTCTGTCTATCCCATTGTCATCTATTACCTGAAACTACCTGGCTGAAGGTGGAGAGTGTTTTATATTGAAGGTGAGAGTTTTGGGCTATTTTTCAATAGAAAACCAAACTCTAATTGAATCAGATAACCTGTAGAGGGTCAATTAAGCGTCACACCACACTTCATGGAAAGAACACCCAGTAATCTCTTTGGAAAATAGTCTTAAGCAGAATTGATTTATTGTATTGCCACCTCTCATTAAATATTGAGTCTTGGTATTACTGCTCACTCCTATTGCCCACTCCTGGTCTATTTGTTTCTCGCTAGTTATGCTGGCTCACTCCATTATCGGCAGAGATCCAGAACTCTACATACCTCAGAGTGTAGGCTCAGCCTCCCATTGGATTTAGAGTATATTCCTCCTCACCTCAAGTCAGATACTTACAGTACTCCTGGCTGTAATTTATGACTTCCCAGGGAAAATCTCACTCCCATGCATGATGGAATGGTCTTTCTCCATGAACCTGACAAAGTAGTCAAGGACAGCACAGTATTCTGAAGTAGAAGCAGCAGTAGTAGCACTATGTAAAGGCAGTACACTCTGGGGACAGGCAGCATGTGATGCATTCATTGTAGAATGCTCCATTATCAAGCAAGCCCTGCTGAGTTCCAGCTCCATTAGCAAGTGGCAAAAGAAGTAGAAGTTGATATTCTGGATGACAGGAAAGCAGTGTTAAACTCCCCTCTTGTGTAGTACTATAAAATTGTCATAGGCAAAAAAAAAAAAAAAAAAAAAAGATGATTTTGTGTCATAGTCATGATCTAATGAAGGCCAGGCCTATGAATAACAACTAAATATAAAATATTCAAAAACAGTTTTCAAGAGACTGTTTTTTTTTCAATAGAGGAAATAATTATCTTAACTAAATTATAAGCTTAATAAGAGAAAAAATAGTTTATATATCTTAACAGGTAAAAGTATTAATATCCAATCTGACTTTGCCACTTACTTGCTAGGTGACATTGGGCAAATTACATAAGGTTTTAAAACATCTGTTATTTCATCTTTAAAATGGGCATTTACTCAGGATTAGATGATACATATGGAGTACATAGAACAAAATCTGGAATTTGAAAACAAATAATGTTAGTCACTGACGCTATTACTCCTCCTGCTCCCACTCCTACTACTGTAACAAATATTATTTGATATTCTCATGGTGTTTAGTATTAATCACGCATGTTTAAGTCATGGAATTATTTGCAAACTAAACCAAATTAAGACAAGCCAAGAAATTAAAGCATATTTGTTTTATCAGAAATAAGGTGTCAGAGCTATTAAAAAGTACCAAGACTTTGTTTTACCATAAACAAGTAATGAAATAACAAAATTCTTACCAGGAAATTTAGATTACAATATTGGAGCTATCAAATCCATGCTTTGGAGGCACAGGCACAACCAGTAATATTAAGAAGTCTGTTGACAACTATACTTGATGTTCTTCTACCATAAACATTTAAAAAGAAAGTACTCCTCTTGCTTGAGGCACTGTAAATAAAAGATATCTGTTAATGAGTTATCTGAATTCCTAGAATACCACAGAAGGAGGGATTACTAAATAACAAGATGGTTATTTTGTTTGGTGTTAATTTCCATCCCCCACCCCCACCATGCCTTCAATCTATGTCAAGGACTATCATGCAGGGCAGGAAAAATGTAGCAAGAGAAAAAAAATACATATAAACATATTAAAGGAATTAAACCTTTTCATAGTTTAAATGCACAATTATGTTGCATTTGGACTCTTCATCATCTGGTTCCCAACCCAACAGTAATGACCTAGCTTTGTTATTCTCCCTTGTTCTTCTGTTTTATTCATTTTTTTCACACATGGGCTTACGCTTATAACACTGGCAAATTACCTTCTTCTCCTGTGTTTCATGCCACCCATGTGGAAAATTTTCCTGAATTTGAAAACTGGTATTTGCCATGTCTTGACAGTAAGTACAATGTCTTACCATTTAACTTTTTTAAGATTTCCTTTTTTTGTTAGTCTTATTTAACTTTTTTGACTCCCTCAACTGCCTCTGACTTGCACGTTTAAATTTGTCATTGATGCTGTTATAC
Organism: Homo sapiens; assembly: GCF_000001405.40. Classification (NCBI taxonomy): domain Eukaryota; kingdom Metazoa; phylum Chordata; class Mammalia; order Primates; family Hominidae; genus Homo; species Homo sapiens. Next base: position 84,531,877 of record NC_000007.14, on the reverse strand, counting down.
TAGATTCAGAATTTTAACTTTCATCTAATGCATTGGAAGAGGAAAAAACAAGAATGAAAACGCAAATATGATGTTTTTATATTGATTTATCCTTTTCACATTTACTTTTTATTGAATTTCAGTTTTAGTAACTATTTTGCTATTTAAAATTATTTGGACTCACTTTTTTTTTAACCAGTTACCAAGGATAAGTAATATTGTGTGCACCATGACAAAATTATACCCATTCAGAGCCCAAAGACGATTGGTGATGATTGTTTTCTAGGAGATATTACTGGTAGCTTACCTAATGAAGGAGTCTAATTTATAATATTTATGTTGGTAGCTCCTTTATATTCATTATTTCTATATTTTTCAAAGTAATTACCCAAGTAATACAATTATTCTTATTTTAGAAATGAGGCAACTTATTGCTATTGCTAAATCTGACTTCAGAGCTTGTTGTTTTCAGTCTCCCAAGATACTCTCTGTCATGGAGTCTGTCATGCAGTAATAAAGAACTGCAAATGGAACAAATAGATCATGTATCTGAAGCCACAAAAAAGATAAGAAATATGTGGGCACAGCACATGCCTAAAAAATAATGACCAGCATTACCTATCGGGTAGTAATGATCCAGAAGCTTGAATAAAGTATAAACTTAAATGGAATTATAAATTCCAAATCCCAACAATGGTTCCTCCCAAGCCAATAGGCCAACAGAACAATTCAAGAACAAAAACCTTACTTAAATCAGAATTACATAGTAATGGTTCAATATAGCTAATTAACAAATGCATTACCTCCTATGGATTTATACATGGAAAACATCATGTTGTATATGGTAAATGCATGACATTGTATCTGTCCATTTAAAAAATAAAAATAAAAGAAATACTTTATGGTAGAAAACGACTACTTAGGAAATACTTGTATATTTATTGTTTTTTCTTTTGTTTGGAGGCTTTCATAAGCTCATTCATCAGTCGTTCAATTGATATATATTTTTTGTGTCCTTACTATGTGTAAGTTATTGATTATTCTAGGTGCTAGGCAAAGTGTTAGTTTACATATAAAATGTATTTATTTTATTCAAAATAGGAATGGGTTTCTTTAAAAGATGTTATACTCTAAATGTAAAATCACCTTTATCAAAAACAGTAGAAGAGGACCAGAGCCCATATCTTAACTGCAGTCATATAAAAAGAAAGCTACCAGACAAAAAACTTTGGATTGCATCATTAGGTAATGTCTGAGTGTGCAGGGGCAAATATAAAATAAACAGTAGTAATCACATATTCAAGCAAGCATCATTGAAAGGTAGAAAAGACAGACCTGGAAAAGTGCATAAGGGTAAGATCAATATAGTAGTATATATTAGTTTACATCAAGGGGTGGAAATGTTTATACACAGTTGTGTGTGTGTGTGTGTGTGTGTGTGTGTGTTAATTTGTATAGCGTCCTTAGAAAAGTCTGTAAACAGATTCCATGGGTGAAGTTTCCTTAATGATGTTCAGGAGGGTATTTTCTGAATTTTCAAAGAATATGATTTAAATAATTTGGCCAAATAGCAAGAAAGTTACAGCATCTGGTTTAAACTCATCTATCACGCACAGTAACATGAATAAATGGAGACATTCAGCACTATACACACAACAGAAATTGTGTTCTCCTATTGATATAATTAAATACTCATAGAAGCCTAAATGCATAATAGCTTCCAGACCCTTTGCTTAATGCCAAAAAGCAATGGCTCCGCTTCCAATGAACTTGATAGGCATATGTTCCTAGTCAGGACCATTGTGAGCCCTCTCCAGTTTCTAAACATTTATTGCTGGTACTGTAATAATAAACATCTTGCATTTATAAGATGTAATGTTGCCTAGAATTTTTCATTTTTCAAGAATGCAGAGCACACTCTCTAATGGCTCTCATATGTCCAGTGTGCCCACAAACAATTTGTCTTCTGAGTGGAGTGTTAATCTGACACCTCAAGGACAGACCTGTTTTCAGAAGGACTTAAAGAAAAGCTACACACATTCATAGGCCTCAATAACTACTGAAAATCCTAGTAAACTGTGGCTGGGATTACTCAGAGTTCTGGATCACATCACTTCATGCCACATTTTGCTTACATAAGAGTTATTAAAGATGATAGTAGAATATTTTTCGACTCATTGTCAAATATGTACATACCAAACACACATTTAATATATGTACATATACATGAAATCAAGCTAATGATGACATTTATGGTCCTGTTCTTTTGTTTTATCTGGACTCAGAGGTGTGTGTGTGATAGGAATGTATTTTTTATTTGTTTAACCCAGTTGCACATGATAACCTCACAGCAGTGACGAAGGAAGCAAATATGTGCTTTGGTCATAAACACCCTGGGGCATAGCAAAATCCCTCCTCTAAAGACAAATCCAAGATTTTCTTCTCAGGTCAAGGGCAGCACATTAAACCTGTGGCTTAAAAAAAAATCTATATCTCAAAAAAAGAAAAGAAAGTTAAGTTTCCTTAATGGTGCTATTCTGCATGGAGTGAAAGATTAGAAACACATCTCACCAATGGAATAAAAGATTACTTCCTGTAAAAAAAAAAAAAAGTTAATTGGCAGAGAAAGAAAAAAATACTCAGGAAAGCTAGAAACAAGACAAATAACATTTACACCTGGATCCATAATGTTTGCTGTTCTTATTTGACATGCATTATTAATCTTAACATTCTGGGGTGGCTTGATTGGGACTTGAATATTCACACCAATACCTTGAACTAGAACAATGTTTTATACAGGTGTGAGAAAAACATAAAATGAAAGTTGTATCCATCTGGCTCACCTACATCTTTTGCTCATTTCTTTAACTCACACTTTTTATTTAAGAAAAAGATGCTTGCCCACAAACAACTGTCAACTTTTTGCCTTGTCAGTGAATTTTCAGGCCCTCTCTGTATTTCTTACCACCATGGAAATACTTAATTCAATGCTTTGAAAAAATGACAACTTCTTAAAGGGAAAAAGCAACCACTCCTTTCTGGCTGGAATCAAGAAGGATATCAAAGGGAAGAAGAAGGTTCCTGCTGTGCCAGAAACTCTTAAGAAAAAGTGAAGGAATTTTGCAGTCCTGAAGATCAAATGCCTGAGAAAAAAGTTTAACCCAAAAGATGCTTCTGAAGGCAAGGAGGAAACTTATGAAAAAGTGAAGCACTGTTCCAAAGAATATAGGCAAATGTATAGAACTGATATTTGATTGGATAGGATGGCAAGAAAAACTGACAACTTCTATGTACCTGCTGAACCCAAATTGACATTTGTCATCAGGATCAGAAGTATTAACGGTATGAGTACAAAGGTCCAAAAGGTATTCCAGCTTCTTTGCCTTCATCAGGTCTTGAAAGGAAATTTTTAACCTCAACGAGGCTTCAATTAACATGCTGAGAATTGTAGAACCCTATTTTGCATGGGAGTACCCGAACCTGAAGTCAGTAAATGAACTAATCTATAAGCATGATTATGGCAAAATCAGTAAGAAGTGAATTGCCTTGACAGTTAACACTTTGGTCGATCTCTTGGTAAATATGACATCATCAGCATGTAGTACCTCATTCATGAGATCTGTACTGTTAGAAAATGCTTCAAAGAAACAGATAACTCCCTGTGGCCCTTCAAATCATCCTCTCCAGGATGTTCAATAAAGAAAAAGACCACTCATTTTGTAGAAGGCGGAGATGCTGACAACAGGGAAGACCAGATCAAAAGCCTTAGAAGGATGAACTAAGGTGTTTGCTGTGATTATTTTTGTAACCTGGAATAAACAGTGTCTGCTTTCAAAAAGAAAAAGCAACTATACCCATCATATATGTTGATCACAATTATAGTTTGCAGTGCTGACATCGTTGTTTTTTTTTTTAATCTACAAGTATATAGGCAACAGATATGACCTGTATTCGATGTACAAAAAGCCAAAAAATATGTTTAAAGTGAAAACAAATTTTCATGTGAGTTTAGTATTTCAGACTACTTATTGTTTTTACTAAGATTTCAGCTACTGACATTTCCACGTTGGCTGAAATGATTCACTGAACTTCCGAAGTTTATCTGTTCAAACTCTAAGAGTGCCCAAACTTCACTGCTCACACACTGTGGGCTAGACGTACCTCTGGAGCAGGTCCGCAGAGTTTGACATAAGCTCTGTGGTATTATCAGGAGGATAACACGCAGTGCATGAAGAGGAGACTCTTTAAGGTTTTATTTCCATTTATTTTAGTATTTCAAAACATTTTCCTCCTAAACTCAATTTGATTGACATGACACAATTTAAGGCAACTCCAAGCACAACTTCCTATGCTTAATAAGGAAACTATGATCAATGGAGCAAAACCAAGAAAGAGGTATTCTTTGAGCTACATTTAGTTTCAAAATTCTTTTCATTGCGGTATACAAAGTTGATTTTAAAAAGTAATGATCAGACATCTAATACTAGAAATAACTCTCTGTTATAAAACTTAGTTGTAATATATTGCACATTTACTTCACTCTTTTTCTAAATTGTTATTATTATTAGCTGGGAAAGAGAAATGCTTGATAATTAAATGCAAAATACTTTAACATCTACTGAGTGTTAAGGTAGAATTAACAAAACATTTATATGGGTTCCTGAGCTACAGCCTTTATCACATCACTGATATTTTTTATCTTTTTGATTGCCTGATGCCAGTAGAAAGACTGCAAATAAATTTGGCTTTACGTAAGCCGTAAATGTTTTGTTAATTCTACCTTAACACTCAGTAGATGTTAAAGCATTTTGCATTTAATTATCAAGCATTTTTCGCTCCCAGCAAAAAATAATAATAATAATTCAGAAAAGGAGTGAAGTAAATGTGCAATATGTTACAACTAAGTTTTATAACAGAGAGTTATTTCTAGTATTAGATGTCTGATCATTACTTTTTAAAATCAACAGATTGTATATCTTCCCAGAAATTTTTATATCCATGTTTGTTTTATAAAATGTAAGCTGATATTCCACACATTATTTTTAAGCTTAAATTTGCCTGATACTATGTGACTATCTTTCCACGTACATAATGAAATATGTACAATATCATTTTAGTGACCAAATAATACTCTACTCATTATTTAATTTATTTACTTTTAGGCTATTATCAACCTTTTCATATCATAAATAATACTGTGATGAAATCCTTATTGCTAATTCCTTAAATCCCGATCACTTACTTCATTCACTAAATTCCTTTATATTCATTCTTAGGTATAAAAATTGGGGGCCAACCAAAAATACACATTTTGCCAATGTTGGAAACCACTGTTCTCTGTAAACAGCCTACCAAGTAACATGCATACAAGCAGTGTGACTCATTTTTGGGGTGTTCGTAATGTTATAGAAAAGGAAGAAGAGTATGTAAAAATCTATAAGTTAAATAATCATATTAATAACTGCTAGCTGTGTATTGAATTGTGTATGATTACTTTTTTATAATAAATGTTTAAATATTACTCTCTGTTTAGATTTTCTTAACCATGCTCATAATTAGTTTATAGACTTTTATAGTTAGAAAAGAATGGAATAACTTACAGGATTTGAAACACATTAAACATGGTGGAGATGCAGTCGTTTGAGGAGAGGTTGTCTGCCCTATTTTCAGCCTTCCTTATGAAAGTGACAATTCAGTGACTCTAACCACTTAGACTTAATTTCCACAAAGACTGTAAAGTCTACCCTAATTTTGTATTGTTTGAGAAATTATGATGCTTGTTTTCCAGACTTAATATATAACTTACACCATTAACTACAGGGATTTTAATAATTCTAATATAAGGCAATACCTCAAATATAATGGAAAAAAATCCCAATCTGTTTTTATAGCAGACTACATTGTCGATAAAAAAAGAAAAAAAATTGTCACATCAATCAATGTTTTTTTCTTGGCCCTCATTGTGTGTATTTTTTTTTTAACCTGAGCAAATTTAAGGTGAAAACTTGTTACCTTTCTCCCTACCCGAATCATACTTGCAAATTGTGTTAGGGTAAACCTGAGGGCAATGTAAATTTCTTTATGGATAAGAAAGAATCTGTAAGATGAAAGCTCTAAATATAAGGTCCTAGAATATTTTCATATATTGTAGAAACTGGAAAGTAAAAGGCATAAAAGTAGTAAAGTAATATGCATAGCAAATTAAAGTATACATTATTACTCATGACTTTTGGGAAGAAATAGAAAAAAAAGAATAAATGACAAATTTTCATATTTCCTAGTTCTCTGGTAACATAGGCTTTGCTTGCATTACCTACACGAAGAATTACCATCTCAAATTCCACAAAACTTCTCCGAAGAGCGTGCCAGCCAGTACGGCAGCCCTATTGGCCTGAGAGAGGGATCCAAGAACGGCATATCTGTGATAGTGCCTAGGGTCTGTAACAGATTTTTCATTAACTTTAACAAAAATTGCTAGCATAACTACATGTGGTGAAAAGTATTTCAAAAGACTAATGTCCCTACTCCTGCATATTTTATTCTAGTAAAAGAGCTGAATTGCTGTACAGAATTCTTGGCATCTGAATGTTTGGCAAACTGTCTAGCTGTTTCTGGTCGTTTCTTTCTAAGTTTTGTTGATTTGTTTTTAAGACATCACTGGGCATGTTCTTCCATTTGACTCAACAGGATGCCAGCACTGACGTTGAAAATGACACAGCAAAAGAGCAAGTTTGTGTAAACGATGATGCTAAGTTATTAATATTATTAATAATCAAATGCAGTGTGTGATGACATAAGGAAAGAACTAAGAATTATTGTTTATTTATAGTTACACAATACACTAGGCAGTGTTTGATTATATAAGCATGTTTCTAATTGTAGCCTTAAAACAAGTGAAAAAAAAATTAAAAAAAGATGATGTTAACCACGAATGAAATAAGAACTCTGAGGAAAAAGGCACATGATTCGGTTTATATTTCACAATGTGTTGATTCAATTGGTTATTTAACCACATAAAAAGTAATAAACAATATGGATCCTGTTTTGTCCAGGTAGTAATTATTATTAACACTGGTAAAGTAGATTATGAAAAATAAAATAAATTCAGAATATTAAAATGTTTTACTGCAGTTTCAATGGTTGATGATAGATCACTATTTTCAATATTGTGATTAGGCTGGGTTATTTAAAAGTAAGTATTTCATTTTCATCTATATGCATTCAAAGCCTGTGCTTGCATGTTTATACTATTTATGGTTAGAATGAAAAGTTGCCTAAATGGAAATTATTTGAAACCTATTCAATTTATTTGTAACTGCTTTATTCTCAAAGTAGTTTATTTTTGAAATATTGTGCTGAAAAAATTAGAATTTAATGTTATTATACTAATATAATGTTGTTCACATTCATTTTGTTTTAATTCTGTAGTGATGACCTGTTATAAAGTAATTTATAATAACACAATGTGTGAGATCACTGAGATTCACACTTGTTTCTTTTGTAAGTTTTGTGTTAACTATCAGAGGGAAAAATATTAAATATCTCAAAGCAACTCCCAAGATAAACTAGTGTTGTAACTAATTTTAAAATAGATATTAGTATCTTCATTTACAATGTAAAGAATATATGAAAATTGTGAATTTTTGCTTTAATGCCTGAGATAAATATCATTATCCTTTTTCATAGAATTACCTTATGGGCAAAGACTGGTATATATGAGAGGAAATAATGATAAAAAACACCAAAGTTCTCAATTTTATTTATCGCATCTGCTGTGAAACTACCACGTAACTAGTATATACTAGGTGGGATGGACCATCTATAAAACATACATGATATGACCCTGAAGAGTTTTACAGTTTCTGTGAGGGAAACTATAAACACAAAAAAAGTATAAAATAAAATTAAAAGTGATAGAAAATGTAATCACCATACCATATAGCTAGTATTCCCAGCCAAGTAGCCAAAATAAGAATATAAAGAGTTAGCATATTTAGAGGTTATAGCAAAATTAGAACTCTACGTGCTTAATGTTTTTAATGACTGAATTTTTAAATTCTTACTTTCTTAATGAAAAAGCAAAATATTTACAAATTGTTGATGTTTTTGCACAAAAATTTCAATGTATTAAATTACTTCTGTATTAGTAACGGTAAGCTAAACTGCAGTAACAACCAGAACCCAAAATGCTTAATGATATAAACACAGCAGGAATTTATTTATTGTTCAATAATGACACAAAATAGACATTCCTGGTTGGTAGGCAGCTGTCTTTCAATATGGTAATACAAGGAATTTTGGGCTCCACCCTTTTCTGTGACATTGTCAGCTGTCACTTCCAGAGAGATAAAGCGGAAAGTCAGAGTGGAATGGGCACATATGCCCTTATCAGAAGCCTCAACTTTTGTAACATTGGAGAAACTTAGTAGTGTGGCCATATTCACCTTCAGGGAGGATGGGGAATGGAGTCCAGTCATGTGCTTGGCTCTAATTCTATTCCACAGAAAGAAAAAAAAAATGGAATTTGCTGGACAGGTAGTGGTATTTACCACAGTTTCTGTTAAAGTACTCGATTGACAAAAAGAAGAAACGTACTCTGATTTTTTTGACTTTCAGTCTCTGATATTACTGGCACAATTAGGTGCATTTATACATATGTTTTTCCTTCTATGTATAATAAAGGATGTGTCTTTTTAATAATTTATATATATATTTTTTATTATACTTTAAGTTCTAGGGTACATGTGCACAACGTTCAGGTTTGTTACATAAGTATACATGTGCCATGTTGGTATTTTTTGTGTCCTTACTATGTGTAAGTTATTGATTATTCTAGGTGCTAGGCAAAGTGTTGGTTTACATATAAAATGTATTTATCTTATTCAAAATAGGAATGGGTTTCTTTAAAAGATGTTATACTCTAAATGTAAAATCACCTTTATCAAAAACAGTAGAACAGGACCAGAGCCCATACCTTAACTGCAGTCATATAAAAAGAAAGCTGCCAGACAAAAAACTTTGGATTGCATCATTAGATAATGTCTGAGTGTGCAGTGGCAAATATAAAATAAACAGTAGTAATTACATATTCAAGCAAGCATCATTGAAAGGTAGAAAAGACAGACCTGGAAAAGTGCGCAAGGGTAAGATCAATATAGTAGTATATATTAGTTTACATCAAGGGGTGGAAATGTTTACACAGAGTTGTGTGTGTGTGTGCATGTGTGTTAATTTGTATAGCATCCTTAGAAAAGTCTGTAAACAGATTCCATGGGTGAAGTTTCCTTAATGATGTTCAGGAGGGTATTTTCTGAATTTTCAAAGAATATGATTTAAATAATTTGGCCAAATAGCAAGAAAGTTACAGCATCTGGTTTAAACTCATCTATCACGCACAGTAACATGAATAAATGGAGACCTTCAGCACTATACACACAACAGAAATTGTGTTCTCCTATTGATATAATTAAATACTCATAGTATTAACTCGTCATTTATGTTAAGTATATCCCCTAATGCTATCCCTCCCCGCTACCCCCACCCCACAACAGGCCCCAGTGGGTGATGTTCCCCTTCCTGTGTCCAAGTGTTCTCATTGTTCAATTCCCACCTATGAGTGAGAACATGCGGTGTTTGGTTTGTTGTCCTTGCGATAGTTTGCTGAGAATGATGGTTTCCAGCTTCATCCATGTCCCTACAAAGGACATGAACTCATCCTTTTTTATGGCTGCATAGTATTCCATGGTGTATATGTGCCACATTTTCTTAATCCAGTCTATCATTGATGGACATTTGGGTTGGTTCCAAGTCTTTGCTATAGTTGAGTAGTGCCGCAATAACCATACGTGTGCATGTGTCTTTATAGCAGCATGATTTATATTCCTTTGGATATATGCCCAGTAATGGGATGGCTGGGTCAAATGGTATTTCTAGCTCTAGATCCCTGAGGAATCACCACACTGTGTTCCACAATGGTTGAACTTGTTTACAGTCCCACCAACAGTGTAAAAGTGTTCCTATTTCTCCACATCCTCTCTAGCACCTGTTTTTTCCTGACTTTCTAATGCTCGCCATTCTAACTGGTGTGAGATGGTATCTCATTGTGGTTTTGATTTACATTTCTCTGATGGCCGGTGATGATGAGCATTTTTTCATGTGTCTTTTGGCTGCATAAATGTCTTCTTTTGAGAAGTGTCTGTTCATATCCTTTGCCCACTTTTTGATGGGGTTGTTTTTTATTGTAAATTTGTTGGAGTTCTTTGTAGATTCTGGATATTATCCCTTTGTCAGATGGGTAGATGGCAAAAATTTTCTCCCATTCTGTGTGTTGCCTGTTCACTCTGATGGTAATTTCTTTTGCTGTGCAGAAGCTCTTTAGTTTAATTAGATCCCATTTGTCAATCTTGGCTTTTGTTGCCATTGCTTTTGGTGTTTTAGACGTGAAGTCCTTGCCGATGTCTATGTCCTGAATGGTATTGCCTAGGTTTTCTTCTAGGGTTTTTATGGTTTTAGGTCTAACATTTAAGTCTGATCCATCTTGAATTAATTTTTGTATAAGGTTAAGGAAGGGATCCAGTTTCAGCTTTCTACATATGGCTAGCCAGTTTACCCAGCACCATTTGTTAAATAGGGAATCCTTTCCCCATTTCTTGTTTTTGTCAGGTTTGTCAAAGATCAGATAGTTGTAGATGTGTGGTCCTGTTTCTGAGGGCTCTGTTCTGTTCCATTGATCTATATCTCTGTTTTGGTACCAGTACCATGCTGTTTTGGTTACTGTAGCCTTGTAGTATAGTTTGAAGTCAGGTAGCGTGATGCCTCCAGCTTTGTTCTTTTGGCTAAGGATTGACTTGGAAATGCGGGCTCTTTTTTGGTTCCATATGAACTTTAAAGTAGTTTTTTCTAATTCTCTGAAGAAAGTCATTGGTAGCTTGATGGGGATGGCATTGAATCTATAAATTACCTTGGGCAGTATGGCCATTTTCACAATATTGATTCTTCCTACCCATGAGCCTGGAATGTTCTTCCATTTGTTTGTATCCTCTTTTATTTCGTTGAGCAGTGGTTTGTAGTTCTCCTTGAAGCAGTCCTTCACATCCCTTGTAAGTTGTATTCCTAGGTGTTTTAGTCTCTTTGAAGCAATTGTGAATGGGAGTTCACTCATAATTTGGCTCTCTGTTTGTCTGTTATTGGTGTATAAGAATGCTTTTGATTTTTGCACATTGATTTTGTATCCTGAGACTTTGCTGAAGTTGCTTATCAGCTTAAGAGTTTGGGCTGAGACAATGGGGTTTTCTAGATATACAATCATGTCATCTGCAAGCAGGGACAATTTGACTTCCTCTTTTCCTAATTGAATACCCTTTATTTCTTTCTCCTGCCTGATTGCCCTGGCCAGAACTTCCAACACTATGTTGAATAGGAGTGGTGAGAGAGGGCATCCCTGTCTTGTGCCAGTTTTCAAAGGGAATGCTTCCAGTTTTTGCCCATTCAGTATGATATTGGCTGTGGGTTTGTCATAAATAGCTCTTATTATTTTGAGATACATCCCATCAATACCTAATTTATTGAGAGTTTTTTAGCATGAAGGGCTGTTGAATTTTGTTGAAGGCCTTTTCTGCATCTATGGAGATAATCATGTGTTTTTTGTCTTTGGTTCTGTTTATATGCTGGATTACGTTTATTGATTTGTATATATTGAACCAGCCTTGCATCCCAGGAATGAAGCCCACTTGATCATGGTGGATAAGCTTTTTGATGTGCTGCTGGATTCAGTTTGCCAATATTTTATTGAGGATTTTTGCGTCAATGTTCATCAGGGATATTGGTCTACAATTCTGTTTTTTTGTTGTGTCTCTGCCAGGCTTTGGTATCAGGATGATGCTGGCCTCTTAAAATGAGTTATGGAGGATTCCCTCTTTTTCTATTGATTGGAATAGTTTCAGAAGGAATGGTACCAGCTCCTCTTTGTACCTCTGGCAGAATTCGGCTGTGAATCCATCTTGTCCTGGACTTTTTTTGGTTGGTAAGCTATTAATTATTGCCTCAATTTCAGAGCCTGTTACTGGTCTATTAAGAGATTCAACTTCTTCCTGTTTCAGTCTTGGGAATTTTAGTGTCGAGGAATTTATCCATTTCTTCTAGATTTTCTAGTTTATATGCATAGAGGTGTTTATAGTATTCTCTGATGTTAGTTTGTATTTCTGTGGGATTGGTGGTGATATCCCCTTTATCATTTTTTATTGCATCTATTTGATTCTTCTGTCTTTTCTTCTTTATTAGTCTTGCTAGTGGTCTATCAATCTTGTTGATCTTTTCAAAAAACCAGCTCCTGGATTCATTGATTTTTTGAAGGGTTTTTTGTGTCTCTATTTCCTTCAGTTCTGCTCTGATCTTAGTTATTTCTTGCCTTCTGCTAGCTTTTGAATGTGTTTGCTCTTGCTTCTCTAGTTCTTTTAATTGTGTTGTTAGGATGTCAATTTTAGATCTTTCCTGCTTTCTCTTGTGGGCATTTAGTGCTATAAATTTCCCTCTACACACTGCTTTAAATGTGTCGCAGAGATTCTGGTGTGTTGTGTCTTTGTTCTCGTTGGTTTCAAAGAACATCTTTATTTCTGCCTTCATTTCGTTCTTTACCCAGTAGTCATTCAGGAGCAGGTTGTTCAGTTTCTGCATAGTTGAGCGGTTTTGGGTGAGTTTCTTAATCCTGAGTTCTAGTTTGATTGCACTGTGGTCTGAGAGACAGTTTGTTATAAATTCTGTTCTTTTACATTTGCTGAGGAATGCTTTACTTACAATTATGTGGTCAATTTTGGAATAGGTGCAGTGTGGTGCTGAGAAGAATGTATATTCTGTTGATTTGGGGTGGAGAATTCTGTAGACGTCTATGAGGTCCGCTTGGTGCAGAGCTGAATTCAATTCCTGGATATCCTTGTTAATTTTCTGTCTCGTTGATCTGTCTAATGTTGACAGTGGGGTGTTAAAGTCTCCCATTATTACTGTGTGGGAGTCTAAGTCCCTTTGTAGGTCTCTAAGGACTTGCTTTATGAATCTGGGTGCTCCTGTATTGGATGCATATATATTTAGGATAGTTAGCTCTTCTTGTTGAGTTGATCCCTTTACCGTTATGTAATGGCCCTCTTTGTCTCTTTTGATCTTTGTTGGTTTAACGTCTGCTTTATCAGAGACTAGGATTGCAACCCCTGCCTTTTTTTGTTTTCCATTTGCTTGGTAGATCTTCCTCCATCCCTTTATTTTGAGCCTATGTGTGTCTATGCACGTGAGATGGGTTTCCTGAATACAGCACACTTTATCTTGACTCTTTATCCAATTTGCCAGACTGTGTCTTTTAATTGGAGCATTTAACCCATTTACATTTAAAGTTAATATTGTTATGTGTGAATTTGATCCTGTCATTATGTTGTTAGCTGGTTATTTTGCTCGTTAGTTGATGCAGTTTCTTCCTAGCCTCGATGGTCTTTACAATTTGGCATGTTTTTGCAGTGGCTTGTACCGGTTGTTCCTTTCCATGCTTAGTGCTTCCTTCAGGAACTCTTTTAGGGCAGGCCTGGTGGTGACAAAATCTCTCAGCATTTGCTTGTCTGTAAAGGATTTTATTTCTCCTTCACTTATGAAGCTTAGTTTGGCTGGATATGAAATTCTAGTTTGAAAATTCTTTCTTTAAGAATGTTGAATATTGGCCCCCACTGTCTTCTTTCTTGTAGAGTTTCTGCCGAGAGATCAGCTGTTAGTCTGATGGGCTTCCCTTTTTGGGTAACCCGACCTTTCTCTCTGGCTGCCCTTAACATTTTTTCCTTCATTTCAACTTTGGTGAATCTGACAATTCTGTGTCTTGGAGTTGCTCTTCTCGAGGAGTATCTTTGTGGCATTCTCTGTATTTCCTGAATTTGAATGTTGGCCTACCTTGCTAGGTTGAGGAAGTTCTCCTGGATAATATCCTGCAGAGTGTTTTCCAACTTGTTTCCATTCTCTCCATCACTTTGAGGTACACCAATCAGATGTTGATTTGGTCTTTTCACATAGTCCCATATTTCTTGGAGGTTTTGTTCGTTTCTTTTTATTCTTTTTTCTCTAAACTTCTCTTCTCACTTCATTTCATTCATTTCATCTTCAATCACTGATACCCTTTCTTCCAGTTGATCAAATATAAATTTCCAAACTGAAATATTTTTACAAAATTATGTGGAAGTAATGTCTCATGTTACATTTGAAATCTAACAGTAAAATAGCAAAATCACGTGATATTTTAAAAGGTATTTTGAGTGCTAATAAAAGGGACATGAATATCAAATATTTCTAGCACCAAGAGGGTCATCACAGGATCACACTTAGTGTAACTATTTTTCCTCAGCTATACGATGTCCTAAACTTATTTTTACAATGTATACTTATATGTAGGCTTTATTTTTGTCTCATGTTATAAAATACCTTCATAAGTTTGAAAAAGTTTAAAAAAAACATGAAAAAGTTAGAAAAGAGTATGAAGAGTATGAGGGATGATTACAATAGAAGAGAAAATGAAGTTAATAGTGTTTTGACAACGGACAGCCAGCCCACCAAAGGCATCATGTGCATACTGCACTATTTAATCATCACCTTGTGTGCTATCATAATAAGCAGTGAAAAAAAAAATGAAAGCCATAAAGCACTTTGGTAGCAATATGTGCAGTGGAGGAAATAATACACTGTTCTATGTTAGGAAAGCTTAGAATAAACCTGGAAAAGTAGATGTTAAGCCAAAGTGATTAAGACACTTTTTTCTGTACTGTGTTGATCTGGGAGACTGCGAACATGTTTGAGAAGCTTAAGGGGAAGAATGTCATAGAGAAGGATAATTAATAAAGCAGGGAGCCCTTAGTTTTGCTGTATATTTAAGCCATATTCCACAACATCAAGACAACAGGGGAGGCAGCTATAGCTGACAGTGAGGTGAACATCACATTACCATCTAATTTTTAAAAAGTATTGATGAAAGAGTCTATACAAGTGAGCAATCATTCAATGTAAAAAATTATAGGCAAAACAAATTTGAGTTTTGAAAGTATATGTCTTTCTCACCATTTATGTTACTATAGGAGAAGAAAGCATTGGATCACAAAGTATCCAGAAGAGATCACCTTCATTGCTGGGAGTTAAGTTTCAACCTTTTCTAATGATCATTTTGTAAATCTCCATGCCCTCAAAAAATGTTCAAAAAAATTATCATTTGTCTGGAGTTTCAATATCAACACTAGTTAATGAGAAGGTTTTTGTAAATTACATACGATGCTAATAACTCTGCTTCCTGAAGGAGAAACAGCCAAATAAAACCTCACAAAGAAGGCTTTACACATTATTGACAATATTCCTAGACAACCACACAGTGTGGTAATATGTAGTGACAACATTCAGGTGGCTTTCCTTCTCTCAAACAGGACCTCTCTAATGCATCCTGTGAACTAGTACGGTATTGCCTCCTTTGTAGCTTCTTGTGCTTATTTCCCTATGCAAACAATATGTGGTCTACAGTGTGTCTGCCAATCAAGAAGATTCACTGAAAGGCCTTTGGAAATGCTTTTACATAAAAAGGTTTTAGAAATCATTGATAAGGCATGGCAAAGAGTTTCTCCACAAATGATGAACAGTATATCGAAGAAACAGATCCTGCAATTGTGGTTAATTTCAAAAGCTTTGAAAAGATAGTCAATGCCAAAACGAAAAGTTTTGCTCTTGCAATAGTAACTAGGTTAGAAGAGATCAAAGAAATAACTGAAAGGCTTCTAGGTTTCACCTAGTCTGAAGAAGACCATGGTGTAAAAAACCTAAAAGAGTAGTCAATCAAAATGCAAGACACCATTAGCTTGAAGAAATGTGGATTATGCAACAATAAGCATTGTCTTTGAATGTATCATGAGTGTCCTTTCTTTTAAAATGGTCTGTCCTTTATAACACCATTCACATAATTCCAAACACACACATATGCACACACAAATAAGAACATAAGTAAAGCTGCATTTTGTATTGGTTTTAAAATTCAAAAGACTTTGCTAAATCCACTAAAAATATTTCAAGATCTTTTTGCTTTGGAATGTCAATAGGAACACCAAAATAATGAAAAATCTAAGGTAGAGCCTCCGAGTCTTAATAGTTTACCTAAAATTCTCCCTTTTTCACCTGGCTCATCCACACCATCATCTTTCACACCCAGTGACACTGATCTACTTCTCTTTCCCACCTTATTTCTGAACTTTTCTTAAAGCTTCAAGTCTCTACCTCAGCTAATAACCGTTTGTTCCAGAAAATTGTTGTTAAAGAAGGGTTCAGCAACCTTTGTCTAATAGTACCTTAGACTTTGTGGGACATATGTTCTCTGTCACAATTACTCAACTCTGCCCTTATATAGTGAACACAGACATAGACAATATGTAAACTAATGAGTGTGGCACTGTTACGATAAAGCTGTATTTAAAAACCCAGGTGGTAAGACAGATTTTGCCTGGAAGTTGTAGTTTGCTAATTTCTGTGGTGGACAATCTTCAAATATGCTCACTATAAATTATTTTCCTTCCTTATATGCACATGCTTATGCTGCATCTGACACCAAGAGGTAGAATCTAAATCTCCTTCTCTTTAAATCTGAGCTGATCTTAAAATAAACTTGTCACTAAGAGAATGCAACAGAAATAATGTTCTGGGACTTCTGAAGCTAAATAAGAAGACTTGCAGATTTTGCTTGGACGTCTTGAAATGCTTGCTCTTGGAATGTTTCCTATATGAAGTTAGTCACCATACCATGAGAAGATCAGGTATAGGTGCTCTGCTAGATGGCTCCAGGTCCTGGGCAACAGCTAGTATCAACTGCCAGCTGTGTACATGAACAATCTTGGACATCCAATCCAGCTGCACCTTTAGATAACTACAATGCCAGCTTCCATCTGACTGTCACCATGTGAAAAACCCTAAGCTAGAAGGATACTGCAGAGTCCAGTCAACCCACAGAACTGTAAGTGTTGATAATCTTAGGCATTAAGAGATAACCAGAACAATCCCCTAGTTTTCATTTGTCATTCTATATTTTTAGATAATTTCATTATATTTTGTATAACTCCGTTTTTTTCTAAATATGTTTATTATATTGCATTTGACATGCCTTTTCAAAAATAAATGCTTATGGTAAGGAGTGCAAACCACACAGTGTACTGCACTTACTGCTTCTTTTAAATGGCACATATTATTCTTTTGGTCATCAGGAACTCATGTTTTAAAACATTTAACATTCTAACGTGGTAGTTTGTTACTTATACATACTCATATTAAATAATTGGTTGAAGATTGGAGATTGACATGCAATGCATTATAATTTCTCCCATTGATACAATATGAAATGGATTTCCAGTAGTTATTCTCACACAGAACTTCTGATTTTCAGAAATGAATTACTGATATTAATGGGGAGTGCCTAGATAACCTGTTTTAGTCTGTAACTATAAAGCAAAGAATATTGAATTTGCCATTACTCAGTCTACAGATGTGACTTTGTTTAAATACTGTCTTATTTGATCTATATGAATAGTTTAGTTTGCAATAAAATTACATCCAATATATTTGAATTAAAATGTTTCAATACTATTAGATTTAGACTGAGAAGCTAAATGTTTTGTAAGTAAAAACAATCTTTATTTCATCTGGCTCATTTAGGCTTTTAATAAGAAGTGACAAGTTTGGGGAATATGATTTTAAGTGATGGTTTACCTAGTTTAAGCCCAGAAATAAACTAAAGGCATTACGGGAAAAAATACTGCAAAGCCATTTATAGTGGTTTTGCTGTCCTTCCTTTTGATTACATGGCAGTGAGAAGAAAAAAAAACAAACCCTGTACATAGTTTGCATTTTAATGGGAGCTACGTTAACCTAGGCTGCTTCTCTGTTCACAATCATTCAAGGTTTAAAGACAAATATGTGATATACTTGTAGTGATAATTAACACTCTAATCTAGAAAACAGCACAGAATAAAGCCTTGACACAGAGGCCAGAGCATTAAGTGTAATACAGACTTAGTGAGCACACTTGTTCTTCCCCAAGGCATTGTTGTGACCTAAATATGAACAATTTTCTTTACTCCATTCTAGAGTTCTGTAAAAAACATGTGTCAGGCTTGGCTTGTAAAATCAGTGGACACCTTTCTATGCTTGGGCCAAAAACCCTGAAACAGATCCAGAAAAAGCAACAGTTCTGATGGGACATTACAATGTGTTTGGATATTCCATATTTCACTTTGTAAAATAAGCATTTGAGTTACAAAAAAAAAAATGTGTACCTGTGTCTGAAAAAGTTCAAGCACCTAACAGATGTCACATGTATTTGGTTGCACTGTAAACAAAAGAAAAATACACCAAAATAGTAAAGACATAATTCTATTAATAAAAGTAAACAGACATTGACTTACCACAACACAGTTCGGGCTTAAGCATAAAATAAAGTCACAAATACTATTTACGTATGTTTTACTATGCATATGTATAAAATGTGTAGAAAAATTAAGCCATCTATAAGCTGGAAAGCTTGGAAGTGTGCTGTCCTCAGACTCTATTATCACTGAACTTAGAAGAGTATATTTTGGCAGCATTATTGGATTGAAGTCCCAAGGGCCGAATTAAAATAAGACTTGCACCATATGTAGACATACAAAATGTTGCTTGTTGGATACAGCCATAAACAATATGTTACAGGTCATCCCAACCTTGTGCTTCTTTCTCTGGGGCTCCCAAGGGTAGAAGAAAAGTATTTTTCATAAAATATGTTTTCTTCCTAAGTGGCAAGGCATACAGAAGAAATAAATAGAACTATGACAGAAGCAGATACCAGATCCCGGATATCAGAAGCTATAAAAATACTGGTATGCCCACAGCACTGATAGAATATTTAATTGGGGGAAACCTTGTAGGCAACAAAGAAAGGCTCTGCAGGGCTACAACGACGTCTCCAGAAATTTCTTTGAACTATATGTTTCCAGGAGAATTCCTACTGTAGTATGCTTCATTTATTCTAATTTTTAAACAGGAAAAATAAACTCCAAAAGTCTGAAATGGCCACTTAATAAACTTTAAAATAAACCTAAAAGTGTGTTCAGAGAAAATATACATTTAATTTGAAATACGCAATTAACTATCTGAATGTTTGCCATAAAATGATAAATATCTAGATTAGTTTAATTGTTAGTTCAATTTATAGTTAGTTGAATTGCCAAAATTGACTAGCTGGTATATTACAGAGCTTCATTGTGTTACGGGGGAAAATAAGGTTTGCTAAAATGAAATTTGCATTATCAGGGTCTTATTTACAGCTTCTAATATGTTCTTGAGCAGAAGATAAAGAAGAGAAATTATAAACAATTCTTACTGCATATTATTCCCCTGAAACTTGTATCTGACTGGTAACCAATGTTCTAAATTAAAGAAACATCATAATAAAATCTTGTGTGCCTTGCTCACAAGGCAGACTGTATCATATAGGTTAATTTCTTAGTTTGAGGTTAGCTTGTATTTGTGGTAGTTTCAAGACTCTGAAGAAGAAATCTTTGATGTTAGTAGAAAGCATTTCTTTCCACCATTCCTACTATTTTCCTCCTTCAAAGCACATGTTTGAAACATAGGAACACATGAATATTCCAGATAAGACTGTATCATTTTTATGAGGTTCAAGATTCAAAAAGTAAATTTCCTGGAATTCATGTTATCACATCTTCCCATTTTTCCATTTAAAAGACTGCTCAACTGATGTTTCGCTTTAGACAGATAAATGTATTATTGAAAGATTTTGTGTTTAAAAATTACTTTTAAAAAACAGATTAATTTAGCCTAGTTTGGAATGACATTTTTTTAAGATAGAAAAAAAAATCTCAGAATTTTGAGCATCATTGGTGAAATACATTCACCATTTTTTTTCTTTTAATGGGAAAGATATACTAATGATGGATTGTCCATCGAAGTTCACTTTTGAAGACTCTCAGACAGCTTATATACACTTACATGTGGAAAGCTATAGCAACGGAGCAGTAAAATGTTACTGCAGATCACTTGAGATTTAGCAAAAGCCTTTTATGATATTAGGTAACCTCCTGGAAATGTGATTCTATTCTACCTTCGCTGAGTCCAAGATATACTGTAAAGATTCAAATCCCTAGAGATCTTCATGCTGCCATAAACAAAAACCACAGTTGTTTTTGAAATGTATTCCATCATTGTGGAAGGAAGAGGGAAGATTGCTTTTTTTTTTTCCCTTGTCTTCTTTATATATGTAGTTCATATAATGGACTAACACTCCATGAATAATATTGGGAAATGCAATGTTAAATTATAATAAGAAGTGTGAATCTTTCTAGTTGAAATGTGGCAAACAAAAAGTTACGTGAATTTTAATGTGTTCCATTAATTTATAACTCAAGTATTGATTACAATATTTATAGAAAAATATATAAAATATTATCAGAGTATTGCATTTATTTAAAACATTTGACTTTGGAATTGAAAAAAAAAATTCAATTCCCATTATCCCACTTTCCTGGGCAATCTAACTTCCCAGAAACGCCGTTTCCCCATTTCTAAGGTGGAAATCATGCATCATAGGATTGTTTAATGTTTTCAACAGCAATTATTTATTCAGTACCTACTATGTGTCCAAAAACTCAGACTCATCACCTGTTGGGAAAAGAGATATTGTCAACAAAACTTTGTTCTGGTCCTCATGGTGCATATATTTCAACGGATGAGAGACATGATGCTAAATAAATGAATATAAAATTGAATACATAATAATGCACTTTATGGGGGGTGAAAAGTGCTCCTTTAGACTACTTTTACTCTGCCTCAATAGAGTCTCAACCCAGCTGCCAGAGTAATGTGGGTCAAGTGTAATACAGAACGTGTCACTCTGCTTAATCTGTCCATGGCTTCTCATCTCAATCAGTGTTAGAGCCTAAGGTCATCCCAGCCTGGTGCCCAGTTGCCTGCCTGGCCTCATCTTCTGCTGCACTTGCCCTTGCTCAGCAGGCTCCAGCTATTTGCATTTCCTAGCTTTTTCCTCCTCAGTCCCTTTGGACTTCACATTTCTTCAGCCTGCCATACTCTTATGCATATTTCCATGTGGTACAAGCCTTCACATTCTTGAGTGTTTAGCAAAGAACTAATTTTTCACAGAGGCCTTC
This sequence comes from Homo sapiens, assembly GCF_000001405.40. Lineage (NCBI taxonomy): Eukaryota > Metazoa > Chordata > Mammalia > Primates > Hominidae > Homo > Homo sapiens. The sequence goes on along the minus strand of NC_000007.14, from coordinate 84,510,698 downwards.
CCTGAAGAACATTTTGAAACATACAACCCCCAAACACACCGGTCTTTCTCATTCCCTTTCCTTCTTCATTTTTCCTGTGACTCAGACCATCTGTCATAACAGGATTTTACTTCTTGCTTTCTTGTCTGTCTTCCCACTACCTTTTAAACTCCATGAGGGCAGAGGTTTTTGTCTGTTTTACTCACTGCTGTATTCCCATTGTCTAGGACAAATTCTGCTGTGTAGTTAGTAATTGTATTAGCCAGGGTTCTCTAGAGGGACGTAACTAATAGTATAGGTGTATATATAAAGGGGAGTTTAGTAAAGAGTATTGACTCACACAATCACAAGGTGAAATCTCACAGTAGGCTGTCTGCAAGCTGAAAAACAAGGAAGCCAGTCTGAGTCCCAAAATCTCAAAAGCAGGGAAGCCGACAGTCCAGCCTTCAGTATGTGGTTGAAGGTCTGAGGGCCCCTGGCAAACCAATGGTATAAGTGCAAGAGTCCAAAATCTGAAAAACTTGGAGTTTGATGTCCAAAGGCAGGAAGCATCCACCAGCATGGGAGAAAGATGAATGCAGAAGACTCAGGCCAGTCTAGCCCATCCACTTTCCTCTGCCTGATTTTATCCTAGCTGTGCTGGCAACTGATTGGATGGTGCCCGCCCAGATTGAGAGTGGGTCTGCCTCTCCCAGTCCACTGATTCAAGTGTTAATCTTCTTTGGCAACACCCTCACAGACACACATAAGAACAATATTTTGTATCCAATCAGGTTGACACTCAATATTAATGATCACAGTATTCAGTGAATATCTATTGATTGGTCTGGTCAGGGCAGACCTATTTGAGGAAGTGACATTTAAACTAAGAAACTGCTAGGAGTAATGAAGACTAGGAAAAGCTATCCAAAGAGGAGGAAATTGTGAATTGACAACCCTTGAAATTAGCAAGAGCTTGCTCTAGGGAGAAACTGAAACAAGGCTCTGGATTGGGTACAGGTTAGTAAATAGTGGCTTTAGATGCAGCAGGAGAGTTGGACAGGAATCAGAACACACACACGGCAAGACTTCTTAGTAAAGAATAATATTATAGTAAACTTTATTTTTTAAAGAAAATAAACAATTCACTTAAAATTTGGAACATAAGAAAAAAGAAGAAACATTAAAATTATACTTTATTTGACCAATTGAAACAAAGAAAAAGGAAAGAAAAAGAAAACTAACATAGATGAGACAGAGAATAAGAGTTGACTGAGTGAAAATAGGATTACAGAATGAAAAAGAGATTAGCACAATATTCAACAGATAGATATAAAGATGAAAGAGAAAACTAAAACAAACAAATTTTTAGAAAATCTTTAATTTACTTTTTAAAAAATGTCTATAGGTCATGACTTTAGAGGTATCAGCGATGAGGCAAAGAATTGAGGGTGGCTGACATAGTTCAGGCAAGAGTGTGAGCAGGAGGGATTGGGGAAAAATAAGACATTGAGGAGGAAGAACTTAGGTGAGCAAAGGGACTAGATGTGTGATGCAAGGAGAATAGAAGAGATCACTGTGAACTTAGGTATTAAACAATGGGTTTCTGAAATAAAATTTAGGTCATGAAGGGGAAAACTAGAGAATGGCAGGAAAAAAAGAGAATTGAAGAAATAAAGTCAAGAATAAAATCAACATTTTATGTTTACATTTATGTAATCCTTTCTGTTTTCATTATATATCTATGACTATGTTTTTTTTCACATTTTTAAAAATTTGCTTTTTACATTTTGTGATTTGATAACTCTCTCCAAATTCAACTTTCTACAGCATTCCTGTTACTTCGTTTTCCCCATGGTGCTGTTGTAAACATATTTTCTGCTCCATCGCTGCCAAAATCCTTCTCTGAAAACTTCCTGCTCTTGCGGCTTTTAGCTCCAACATCTCTCTTTGACCCTAAGACAGCCACCTCCTATTCTGTTCCTGATTAGAACACACTGGCCTAGAACACTCCCCAGTCCCTAGCCCCTTGTCTAACTGATTCTCAGGCTAAATGGCAGCTGCTCCACCACTAAATCCATATTTCATATTTTTATATTTGAAACATCTCTGCATAGCGTGAGCAAATAATTTTTTTGTACCAAAAAAGGGACCACCAACAGAGTGGGATACTGGCTGAAACAACAGGCATGAGCAGAGACTGTCATGGTTCCCTTTAGGGAACATATCTTGGTTAATCTGCTGGGGTTGCCACTTTGTCCCTCAGGAATGCTATCTCAGGGTAGAAATAGGGCATCCCTGTATAGGGCATTGGAAACAGCAGCAGCAGCAGCAGCTAACACTGGAGGAAAGAGTATTCATCATTCACTGTGCTAAGCCCTTGGCTTTAGTTTCACACATTTATATAATTGTATTTGTTGATTTCAAGGCCAGGGCAGGAAAAGCCAAGTAAAACTGCACTTTACATTTTACTTAATGACAGATAAAATAACCCATGTAATTCAGCGTAGTCTTTTTGAGATATTCAGTCAATCCTCTTTATTAAAGGTAGTTATGTTTTAGGAAGTTGCTGCAAACATTACTGCAAACACTGAATTAGCGAATATGGAATCATTGCTCCTTGGGGAAACACAAGGTTAGGTTCCTGCAAATTTTCTGGCTGCAAAATTTTTATCAACCAGTTAATACATAATCTTGTTTTAAGTGTGTTTCTGTTAAAGACACTTTATTTAATATATAGCATTGATTCATTAACTTTGAACCTCAGGACCAACAGCACCATAATTCATGGTTGTATAAAGCTCATCTAACACAGGTATCTGTCCCTTAAGGCACATCACAGACATCTTGCACTTAGGAACACTAGACAGCATGTCAGCGCTATGGCTGGAGACCATTTTAAATCACAAAATCAGCAACAAAAAGCATAAGCATGAGGGAAATGTGGCGCTAAATAGACCACAAAAAGAAAACTTACATAGTATGAGAACTGAAACAAGAAAGCAGAACATCACCTTGTTCAGCCTCAGCTGGGCACATGGGCATCTGGAGACTCAAATTTTTGCTACCTGTGTATGTTGGTGAGTGACCATACAAATGCTGCGAGTATAGATTTTTCTGGGTATGAGTAGACAAATTCACAAATAAGGGATCCACAATAACGATAACCTCTTTTAAACTGAATCACGTCACTCCCCTGTTTAAAAGTCATGCAATTTCTTCTCAGTACTTTTGGAAGAAAATATAACCTGGTTAACATATGGCATGCAAGGCCCTACATGATATGACTCTGCTTACCTTTCTAATTTCTTATGCCAGAGTCTTCATAACTCACTACACCCAAAGACATTGACATCTTCCCAAATTTATACTTCCAGCCCTAGCCGTTTTCTTGCTCTGGGCCCTGGGCTCATGTATCCAACTGCATATTGAAGATCTTGGTTTAGATGCTATGAAGCCATGAAAACTTGACAAAACCAAAACAGAATTTATGATATTTCTTTCTAGTTCTGCTCCTCCCTCAATCTTATACATCACAGTAAATGTTACCACTTCCAAAAGATGCTGTGTCCACCTCAGCCTTTTTTCTGACCCTATATCATACTAAGCTTACTTTCATCTTTGAGCCTTGTCATTACTGTTTCCTCAGGCTGGAACTCCCTCCATTCAGGTGTTTTCAAAGCTGTATTCTTCTTTATTTTCAGGTCAAATGTGTCATGCTCATACATCCCTTGCTACCAAATCATACTATCATATGAACTTGCTTCATCTTCTCTGCAGCACTTTTCATGATCTGAAATTCTCTGCCTCATTTATGTGTGTACAGTTATTTTTTAAACTGCCTCATTCCATTGGAACATAATACTCTGTCTGGATGGTAGCTACCTTTTCTTTTTTACCATCTCATTCCCCTTACTTAGAACAGGCCCTGTATCTGTTGCTGCCTGGCCTTTTTTAGGGCATCACCTGCACAAATGTCATTCTGCTCCAGAGCCTTTGTCGCAGTGTGGATTGACAAACCATGAACATTCTTCATGTCTCATCTGAAATGTCACTTCCTCAGTAAAACCTTTCCAAACCACACACTCTAAAATAGTCTTCTTGACCATCTCTCAGTATTTTATCACATGACACTCTATTTGTGTTTATATCAAATTTTTGCTTGTTTAATGCCTATCTTATCCCCTGGAACAGGGGTTGGCAAACTAAGACCCATGGGCCAAATTTGCCCTACTGCCTATTTTTTATAAAGAAATGTCTATGGGAACACAGCCATACCTCTTTATTTGTGTATTGTATGTGGCTGGTTTTGTGCTACAACAGCAGAGTTGACTCATTGCAACAGATACCATATGGCCAACAAAAGTCTAAGGTATTTACTATCTGGCCTTTTACAGTTTGCTGACTCCTGCCCTAGATATGGGCTCACTGAGGTCAGAGATTCTATTGCTTATTCCACAGCCGCATACCAGTACTTAACTGAGTACCACACATGGTTATTACTTAACTATTATTTCTTGACTGGTTGTTGAATGACTTAATATTGTAAACAATGTGATTAAGAAAAATATTCAAAATACACAAAATATTTTTTTACGAGCATAAGTTATTCTTTAAGTACTTGATCCTAATTTTTTGAACTATACTTATTTATACTTATTAGCTACATTAAATATAGTTTTAATGCTACATAACAAATGTATGTAGCAAATGTTTGTGATGTAGCATTAAAACAACAAAAACAACACAGATAAATCCATCTAGTAAATATCTATTGCTGAACTGTTACATAGAAAATCTTTGTGAGGATTTGAGCCCCTAGGTAATTTCCAAAGGAAGTTTTAGAATGTGGTGAATTTGTTTTTTCTGTGCCAGGCTGCCATTACAGGTACCATTCCCCACTCTTTTTTTGGCATGGCATCAATAAAGAGAATATTTCAAACACTATTCTAAATCACCTTACCCCCATTAGAACAAATATATTGTTGTGTATCTTTTGACATTGGATGTTTGTCTGTGTTGCACTAACTTGAATCTGACCTCTTTGAACTTCGTTCAGTTCATCTCTCACTGCCTTTCCAATTTGCCAAGTTCATTTTGAATACTGAATCCATCTTCCATGAGTCGTTCTGTCCTTATTCTCTTCAGGAGATTGAACTCATCTACAAATTTGATGAGCCTATTCTCTATTTCATTTTCCAGGTCATTGAAGAAACACTTAAGCAGCCCTCAATGTAAAGGTGACCCCTTCAAAACATCACTCGTTATGTCTCCCCGGGCTGACACTAATTCATCAGTAACATTTCTCTGGGTATGGATGGCCATTCAATCTACTGACTATTGTTGGCATAAAATAACAGAGCAGAAAAAAAAAAAAAAGAGTTTACTTAAAATTTTCAGGAAAAGCACTTTGTCTTCTGCCACACTAAAAATATGCAGAACAGTGGATCATGCTGTTTAGAAATTAAATATCTTTTGTATATGGAGAATTATATTCTTGGTTTGTGTAGTCAACTTTGCAATGTGGCCTTTCGTAAACATTGTGATTAGAAAGATAGTTGATCACTCTTGTTTTGTCACAGAATACTCTGTATTTGTTTTCAAGTCTCATTTGTATCTGTTATTCTCTTTCTCCTGTGTTTGAGTAATTACCAAATGCAGCTCATCATGCTGTTTTCTGGAATTATTCTTTGCTCTGTTATTACAGTTAGAGCCTCAGTTTAAGTCATCACTACCTGTAGTCAAACTACTGAAAAAAAATTTTTTTTTCAAATGATGGCATTCTTGTCTCCAAACTCTTGTGAAGCTCTCAGAGGGAAATATTTTGTCAAATATAATGTTTCATGATTCCCATTCTGAGGATCCATAAGTGCCTTTCAACTGACACTCAAAATAAAATAAAATGCTCAATGTGGTATTCAGGGCCTTCTCCTTGTTAACATTTTATCTCCAGTGCTTAAAGCTCAGTTCACACAGGTATTCTGATGAGCAAGCACGGTTACCAACACAGTGTCTCCATACTCACTAACATAATTTAAAACAACATTTGCTGGCAACTTAGATATGCTTTTATTAGCAGGATTATTATCATTATTATTTTATCAATTTGCTTATCTTTACCAATCCACAAGTCACTAGTAGTTTGAAGCATTCTCATGTAGAGTAGTTTTGACCACAATTTATATTTGTAGATGGGCTTTACTGACTGATAAAAGAAATTTAAAAAGGAGATTGCTCTTGGCATCATTGATAATCAACGCCACTATAAGAGAATACAAAAGAACCTTTAAAAACATTACCTAACATGTTTTTGTAATTTCAAAAAGCCAAAGGGCAATATTTTAAGACTTTTACTAATAATTTAACTGCAGTTTGTCTAATCTAAACAATATTAATAATGTAATATTTACCCACTGCATCTAGTATAATGCCATGTATATAGTAGATTCTCAATGAAAAACTGTTGAAGAATTATTTGTTTGTCAGCATAGGCACATAGATATATACATTTCTAACTTCATTTTCCTGTATTACAAATGTGTACAGGGAAATGAAAAATGAGAGAGAATAAGAAAAACTTACAGAAATGCTAGGAGCGCTGTGCTTTCGGGGCATAATAGGCAATTTTTGATAGTGATTAAAGATTAATTAATGAGGGGAAGTAGAAGGATGTATAAAATTACATGAGGTTATTTCTAAATTTAAAGAATTCCTTTTTGGATGAAATTACTTTCCTTCATTAAGCAACGACAAGGTACAAAATAAATTTTACAATTCCATAAACCCTAATTATATTTAACACATATTAAATAGTCAATGTTTAAAAGTCTAAAAGATTGTAAAAACTCTAATTATCAAGAAAGAACTTATGCAATCGAAAATTTAAAAGAAAAATATAATTAAAAAAGAGAAAATTTAAAAGATAATAAAAGGAGGCTGGGCACGGTGGCTCGTGCCTATAATCTTAGGACTTTGGGAGGCTGAAGAGGGCGGATCACGAGGTCAGGAGTTCGAGACCAGCCTGACCAACATGGTGAAACCCAGTCTCTACTAAAAATACAAAAATTAGCCGGGAGTGGTGGTGCACACCTATAATCCCAGCTACTGGGGAGGCTGAGGCAGGAGAATTGCTTGAATCTGGGAGGCAGAGGTTGCAGTGAGCCAAGATCATGCCACTGCATTCCAGCATAGGCGACAAAGCGAGACTTCATGAAAAAAAAAAAAAAAAACCACAAAGAAAAAAACCTCATACTTATATGGCTAAAGTATCGACATGTGATTCTTTTTTTAAAATATAAACATAGTATTGCTAAAATAAAGATTCGAGAAAACTTAGATGAGTTTAGATTGGTTAGAAAGATAGGAAGAGTTAGCTGTGTTTAAATGAGTTAGAAAAATTTGCTAATTTATGATTGGACATATTATAATAAGATTTTATTCTTGATTATTGCTCTACCAAAATCTGAATTTACTAAATAAGTTGTACTTCCTTGTACTTTCCCATCACATAAATAAAATGACACATGTAACATGCCACTGTGAAATGCTGAAGTATTGTAGAATGATTATTTGAACAATGAAAACCAGCTTTCACTCCTCTGATACTTCCTGCCTAAAGGATTTTTAACATTTGCTTTAGTTTTTCAGATTCCTTTAGTGCTCTTTAAAAAGCAATGTCCAAATAAGTATAATCAAAATGTGCTATGGTAAACTTCTACTAAATCATGGTGACAAGTTTTAAATCTTGGTGGTAGAAAATGTTTTTATATAGAAACTTATAGAAATATTCTTGACGTATGGAAATACAGTTAACCATCCTTTTCTAACACGTACAAGGTAGAAAGTAAAGATTTAGTAATCATTCTGATGGTCAATGCTAGCAAGTCAAGCTAGCTATATGCATTTGAATGCTCATAATTACTAAATTAGCCCACATTAAGAGGTAATGTGGCATGTTTCTAGTAATTTGTATATTACCATCTGTCTCCACCACTTCCCAGCTGTGTAACTTTTGGTAAATTATTTAGTATATTGTAGCTTTATTTCCTCATTTATAAAATTGGATAAGAGTAGGAACTAATTCATACAGCTATTATGAGAGATAAATGAATTAACACTTGTAAAGTAATGCATTAGTTTCCTAGGGCTGGCATAACAAATTACAGCAAACTTCATCACTAAAAACAACAAAAATTTATTCTCTCACAATTCTGGAGACCAGAAGTCCAAAATTAAGGAGTTGGCAGAGTTGGTTACTTCTGGAGGCTCTGAGCGAGAATCTGTTCCATAATTCTTCATTTCTGGTTGTTGCCAGGAATACTGCCTGTTCCTTGGCACATAGAGCAATCTTTGCCTTCATCATCACATGGCACATTCCTCTGTGTGTCTCTGCAGCTTTTTCTCCTGTAAGAATACCAGTCATTAAATCTAGAGGAAATCCTAAATAGAGAATAATCTCTTTTCACAGTCCTTAACTAAATTGTATCTGCAAAAACCCTATTTCCAAATAAATTTACATTCTGAGTTCTGAGATTTTATCAAACAGAAATGCTTCTGCTCAGTAAACAATTAACTAAGAGACAACCCGTAGAATGAAAGAAAATGTTTGCATTTTCTTAACATATCTGTTAAGGTGTTAATATCCAAAACATATAAGAAACTCAAACAACTCAATAGTTTATAGTTTGAAAGGAGACAACCCATTTAAAAGAATGGGCAAAGGACCCAAATGTCTTGTATTTCTCAAAAGAAGACATAAAAATGGTCAACAGGTATATGAAAAAATGTTCAAAATCACTAATCATCAGAGAAATGCAAATTAAAACCACAATGAGATATTACTTCACATCTGCTACAATGACTGTTATTAACAAGGTGAAAGATAAATAATGCTGGTGAGGATGTGGAGAAAAGAAAATCATTGCACACTATAGGGGAAGTATAAATTAGCATAATTATTAGGTAAACTGTGAAAGTTTCTTTAAAAAACAAAAATAGAACTACCATATTCCAGTAATCCCACCACTAGATATATATTTAAAGGAAATAAAAGCAGTGTGTTGAAGAGATATCTACACTCCCAGGTTTATTACAATATTACTAAAAATAGCTAAGATATAAAATAAATCTATGTGTTCATTAATGAATGAACAAAAAAACATGATATGTATACATAATGGAACACTATTTGGCTTCAAAAAAGAAGGAAATGCTGTCATTTTACAAAACTATGGATAATCCTGGAGGACATTATGCTAAATGTAAGAAGCCAGGCACAGAAACACAAATATACCATGATCTCACTTATATGTAAAATCTAAAGAGTTGACCTTATAAAAGTACAGAATAAAATGATGGTTAACAAGTGCTAGGGGTGGGGTGGAGTGAGGTTGAAGAGATGTTGAGCAAAGGATACAAATTTAAGTTAGGAGGAATAAGTTCAAGAGATCTGTTTTACAACATGGTGACTATAGCTAATAACAATGTATTGTCTTTAAAATTGATAACAGAGATTTTAAGTGTTCTCATTACAAAAAAAGATAAGTGTATGAAATAATGCATGTGTTAATTAGCTTAATTTAGCCATTTTATGATGTGTACATATTTCAAAACATCATGTTGTATATAATAAATATATATAATTTGTGTTGATTTAAAAAAGTAAATAGTGTTTACAAAATTTATCAAGAAAGAAATATTATACAAAAAACAGCCATGTAACAAACCTGTGCATGTAATCCCTGAATCTAGAAAAAAATAAATGTAAATAAATAAATAAAGCAAAAACAACCAAAAGAAGATAGATTAAAACTCTTTACTGACTAAAAATATTGTATGAGTCACATGATAAACTTTGTTACCATTGTTAAAATAATTAACTCTATTTATATTAACATGAATAAATCTGTCTGTAATGTTGGGTTTTAAAAAGTAAACTTTAAAACCCAGGAAATACTATTAATGCAAATTAATACTATTACCTTTTAAAATTATAAAAACCAAATTTATGGAGAGATAGAAGGGGTATCAAGCTTGGGAGAACAGAGAATATCAGATACTTCAAACCTTCTGTAATAATTACTCTTAGAAATACTAAACAGTTTTTCAATTTAATTTACAACAGTGATATGGTTCAGCTTTGTATCCACCCAAATCTCATCTTGAATTTTAGCTCTCATAATTCCCATGTGTTTTGGGAGGGACCCAGTGGGAAATAATTGAATCATGGGGGCGGTTTCCTCCCTACCATTCTCATGGTAGTGAATATGTCTCGTGAGATCAGAAGGTTTTATAAGGGGAAACCCCCTTCTCTTGGTTCTCATTCTCTCTTGCCTGCTGCCATGTAAGATGTCCCTTTCACGTTTCATCATGATTGTGAGGCCTCTCCAGCCACGTGGAACTGTGAATCCATTAAACCTCATTTTCTTGATAAATTACCCAGTCTCAGGTATGTCTTTATCAGCAATGTGAAAGCATAATATTACAAACAGTATCAAAAAGAGTAAAATACTTAGGAATAAATCTAACCCAGGAGGCAAAATGTGTGCACACTGCAAACTTTAAAAAGTTGCTGAAAGATACTAAAGTCACATAAAAAATAAAAAGATATCCCATGTTTATGGGCTGGAAGACTTCATATTGTTGAGTTCAATATTACCCAATGTGATCTATAGATTCAGTGTAATCTCTGTCAAAATTTCAATTATGATTTTGCAAAGATAGAAAAATCTTTCCAAAAATTTATATGCAGTCTCAAAAAACCACAAATTAGCAAAACAATCTTGAAAAAAAAATCACAAAACACAAAGTTAAAAGTCTCACACTTTCTGATTTTAAAACTTACTGCAAAGCTACTGTAATCAGAAGACTATATGGTGGCTTAAAAATGGACATACACACCAATGGAGCAGAATACAGAGCCCAAAAATAAACCCTCACATATGTGGTGAAGTGATTTTTAACAAGGTTGACAAGACCATTCAATGAGGAAAAGGCTGTTTTTTCTACAAATGGTGTTGGTAAAACTGTATATCCACATTCAAAAGAATGATTTGAACTATTACCTTATGCCATATACCAAAATTAATAAAAAAGGGATTAAAACACAAATCTAAGAGCTACAATAAAACTCTTGGAAGAAAACAGAGGAAAATCCTCATATTATTGGATCTGGCAATGATTTTTTGGCTATGACACCCAAAGCATAGGCAACAAAAGAAAAAAAGAGGTAAACTGGACTACATCAAAATTTAAAACATTTGTGCATCAAAAGACACAATCAATAGTCATCTCAGCTCACTGCAACCTCTGCCTCTGGGACTCAAGTGATCCTCCTGCCTCAGCTCCCTGGAGTAGTTGGGGCTATAGCCACATGCCACCATGCCCAACCAATTTTTGTATTTTTTTTGGAGAAATGGGGTTTCACCATGTTGCCCAGGCTGATCTCGAACTGCTGGGCTCAAATGATCTGCCCTCCTTGGCCTCCCAAAATGCTAGGATTACAGGATCCACTCATATTTAAAGTCAATAAATTCCAACTTAAAATAGTTCCTCCTCCAAATATTTCTACTTCCCCCAAATACTGATCTTCATTTTAATTGGTAAAGGAGAGACTTTTAGTTTCCTCTCTAAAGTATTTAGCTGTACTTCTCAGTAATATATTTCTGATTTATATTTCAGGTAGTTAACACAACTACATTATCAACCTTCCTTACCGCTAGTGAAGCCAACATTATATAAACAAAAGTTTACATGTGGAGCATTTTGGATTGGCCCTTTAACACCTGGTATGGGCTTGTTTTTATCCTCTCTACCAAACTTTTGTTCACCACAAAAGCAATGACCAGAATTCCAGCAGCTATTTTTTTTTCTTACCTTGAAAATTACATCCATTAGATGGAAATGCCAGGGCAGAAAGTAAGAAGATGGTGGATCTCTTATGTTTTGAGAAATGATGCCCTACAAGACTTGGAATGCTACTGGTGGACTTCTCTTACTTGAACAAGAAAGAAACATTGAATAAACAGTGGTCTTGTTTAATCCACTGTAATTTTCTGTTATTTGTGAAATCAATTTTGACTCAGGCTCCTTCATCTCTAACTCGTTATCAAGTATTGTTGCTTTTAGCTTTGAAATTTCTCTTGAATATAAGACTTTTTTTGTTTGTTTCTAATATCATTATCATTAACCAAGTCCATTTGGTAATTCTACAAAATTAAACTTGGTAAGTTTTTTTTTTTTTTTGCATTTTTGAGAAATACTATGAAAAATATTATGATACACAAACATTTGAAAAGATATTTTGGACATCTATACTAGAATCTAGTCATCATATTAGAAATTGGAGATATAAAAACATTAATTAACTACCTCAAGTTTCTATTTAATTCATTTTATAAAGTTCCAGTTTAGAGAACTCATCACAGCTCAACTTCAAAAGTAGGTGTTGCAATTCCATTTATTGAATAGGATTAGGGAAGTTAAATTACTATTAAGTGGTGGAATCAGGATTTGGGTCAAAGACTGTTTTTAAATCCTATCCTTTCCAGTGAACTGCAAGCACGTGGCATAAACATGGGAGTAGAAATGAGAATGGAATGCTACAAGGACTAGAGTGTATCAGTCTGCAGGGATACTTTTATGCTGAGGGAAAAGTGACAATCAAATCAGGAAAGTAGGTCAGTGCCTGAGTTATTGCAGCAGCCTCAAAAGCAGTCTTGCATTTTGCTAATCCCTTCCAATTAATCTTTCCCAAACATGATATTTATCATGCCAGACACTTACCAGAAAACTTCTAACAGTGTTTCTTTGTTCTACACAATCTTGCCCTTCCCACATTTATTCATGATTCCCCAAATTAAACCTTCTATATGACACAGACAACTTTTGTCATCATTTCTGAACCAAAGTCCTTGAGTACTTATGAATTCATGCAATCCATATTGAACTCACATTTTCTGACTTTTTATTAAATATGCTGTATATATCATTCTTGAAATGAAATATTATTTAATTTGTTTTATGTGTATATTTTCATCCCCAATAGTTTGTAAAATGTTGAGGTCAGACATTAGGCCTTGTTATGTATCAGTGATAGCTAAATTAAAAATTGTCTAGCAAATCTTGAAAACATGGTAAAATAATTTTTATGCAAGAGTTTTAGTGTTTTGATTAACTGGCTCACAAATAGTCTCCAGTTATTTTACATATTATCTTACATATTTCCCAGTGTTGGCCAAGGCAAAATTGTAAAGTTGGCAGAACTTTTTTGAGACCTCTTTCCTTTAAATTTTCCTCTATCCCTCTGTCCCCCACCCCCAAAAGTTGCCTAATTTTGAACTCACTCAAATGTATCTTTTTTAAATAATAACTTTCCTTGGCTTGGTCACCTCATGGGGATTTATGGTTTTAAGGACTTCAACCTGGAGCCTTTTTGATCACACCACCTGTACCACTTTTGACAACCCATACTATTCATATTCCCCAAAGAAATTATTCCCTGATGCAGCTTGTCCTTTGAAAAGTATACTACACCAGACTACCATTAGCTAATGTCCTAAACTAATACAGAGAATAAATAATAAGTTCTAAAAATATTTAATTTGGTGCATTTTATCCTCCTCCTAGATCACTAGCATTTTTATTGTAATAAAATTTTTGGAGAGAATGTTTTTACCTTGGCCAGATTATTTTTTAGGATGATATTTAAGATCTAATATTAGATTGTAAAAAACTTCTTACTTTTTAATAACAAAAACCGTGATTACTCTTGCACCAACCTAATAGGAGAAGAGAACCAATATTGGAAATATTTTCATATCATAAAATTATATAAATCATGCCTAGCCTCATAAAAGTAGTTACCCCAAATATTTGTTGAATTCTTGATTATTCATACCCAACTGGCAAACCTCTGTACAGTTTTATCAGATCTGCTCATAGAAATATATATTTTTCTACAATCCTATCCAATCTTTTTCTATTGATAGCTTATCCTATTAATGTAATATCATAATATTAATATAATATTAATGGTCTGGTACCTAAATTTTTACTTTCTCTGCCCATTGCATGATATATTTTAGAGTTGGTGAATCAACAACAATGTAAAGTAACATTTCAGTCCCATTTTCTAAAGCTGGTGAATCAGCAAAAACACAAAACTCTGTTTTATCTTCACCTTACATACAATCTCACTCCAATAAACCACAATGGGAAGAAGATATATCTGTAAAAGAGACAGTGAACCCTGTGCTTTAAGGAACTCCACATGTTTTATATCCTTGGATTAATGAGGCACAAAATTGAAACTGTGGAGTGAAAAACTATAAAAATATGGAAAGATTTTTTTTTTTTTTTTTTGAGACGGAGTTTCTCTCTTGTTGCCCAGGCTAGAGTGCAATGGCATGATCTCAGCTCACCATAACCTCTGCCTCCTGGGTTCAAGTGATTCTCCTGACTCAGTCTCTCGAGTAGCTGGGATTACAGGCATGCACCACCATGCCCGGCTAATTTTGTATCTTTAGTAGAGATGGGGTTTCTCCATGTTGGTCAGGCTGGTCTCGAACTCCTGACCAAAGGTGATCCACCTGCCTTGCCCTCCCAAAGTGTTGGGATTACAGGTGTGAGCCACCACACCCAGCAGCAACTTTTTTTAAAGGAATTTATATCAAGTGTGTTTACATTTAGGAGCTGAAACATTGTTTTCAGAAATGCCGGTTTGATACTAGGGATCATCATGCTGTTTTTCCATTACCTTAATTTCAGAAATAAGTGACTTGGAACTAAAATTATTTACCATTTGGACTTCAAAAGCTTGATCAAAGCAAGACACATGTTTAAAAGAGAATCAAGTCTTAAACCAGATTATTAAAAGAGCCCTAAATTTTTGTTTCAATGACATATCATAAATAGTTGAACATATTTATTAAGGAGAAATATTTGTACATCATTTCAGCAAACTACTTTGATATTTAATTGGAAATGACAGACCATATTGAAGTTTGTTAAAAGAATCTTATTAATAACAACTTCACAAACACCACAACCACTGCCATAGTCTCCATTAGTAAAACTAAAGGGGAATTTGTGAGTTAATAGAATGGGAATAAACATATGCAATTGAAGGCAGGTCCAAATCAGGAATGATGTGGCCAGCTAGACGTGTGTTGGGGAAATTTTGATTTTTGCCTTCCTACAGGTAAAAGAAAAACTAGCAAGCATTGAATCATTAGTTCATAAATTAGACAGCATTTGTTAAAGAGGACCCCCTTGTGAATAGGCTTGTATGATGGGTTGGGAAAAAAAACCTAGATATAAATCAAAACAAAGAAACTGTATGCTTCTCTAAATCTTATCCAAACTTTGGTATAAAAGTTAGACTGGAAACTCCCCAGGATATTTTTTTCTTGGGATGTTTCCAATATGTTTCATTTTCAACTAAGACAGAAAAAAAATCTCACAATGAAAGTCTTCATAGCAAATTATGTGAAACCATGAAAATGAAGAAGTTTTGTTTGTTTTTCCAATGAAAATTTTTGAAATCTGAAAATGCTAAATTTCCTAACAGAGAGTTCAGATAGCCAGAAACTTCAACCTAATTTACTTAAATCCAATTAAAGAAAGTTATGATAAATTGCTCTCCTATATAATATTTCTACAGGTAATTTTGTGCTCATCCGGTGGTATGATTTCTGAAACTTGAATATCAACACATGATTGTAATGTCTTTAGGATATGAAATTACATGCACTTATACACAAACACTCTCTAAAATAACCAGACATTGTTAAAGAGACCCTCTTCTCATACCATAGCTATATACAAATGATATTTATGAACCATTTAGATCTCTTCAAATTGCATTGGCCCCTTGGGGTACACTGAAATCACAATCTGTTTATTTATTTTTTTCTTGGGTTCTGTTATCTCTGTTCTTTGCTTCCATCTGTCTTTTCCTTCATATCTTATCCCCATTTTTCCCACACATTAATATTCTCCTTTCTAACCTTTTAATATTTCCCTTAAAAATGATTTTGCATTCTGAAGCTTTTTTGTTCTTATTCCTTTTTTTAGATGGAATGACCAGAGAGAACACTTTTCTAATTGTTTAGTGTGATTATTGTAAATATCCAAAATCAGAGGGCAAAAGATATGTATGCTAGTGTGATCTGCCATACAGAATAAGACAATGCAATTATTTAAAAATCAGACTTTTATATTGTTGTTTAACTTTTATAATTTTCAATAAATGTTAGTCTCATAATTTAAATACAGTTTTTATTGAAGTTTAACATAGTTTTTAAAATAATTATTTTCTTGTCTTTTTTGTTTCCAGGAGTGAAATGAGGTTTTTTCTTTTTAGTCTGCTGAATTATATTATTTTACTGATGAGTAAAATAAGCTTCTGTTAGAATAAAGTAATTATTTACAGAGAAATGGTAAAATCTGAAAAGGATGATACAAATTTTTAATCAAACAATGAATTAATTTTGGACAACTTATGGAAACATGGAAAATTGATTGATAATTTTTAATGTTTAATCCTGTACTTATTTCTTCAAGTTTGCTACAAAGGAATTAGGGATATTAAAGAAACATTTGCTCAAGAGATTTTCATTATAAAAAAGTTCTAATAAACTATTTTAAAAATATAAGTGCTTAGGTACTTCTTAACTTGATGGGTCCCTCTATCACGAGTCTACACTTTTATCAGTAGACTAGACTATATTTCTACTACCAGTTTGGGCACATGAAGTTAGAGTATCCACTTCTAAATTATAATTATCCATATGAATAGGAGTTTATTTTTTATTTTCTTATAAAATAAATCAATGATAATCATTTGATTCTGTGCTGGATAAAAATTATTCTTCATGGAGACTGTCTGACATGGGGAAGAGTGAGAATTCTAGAGGCAAATCAAATTGAATCCTGCTTCCAACCATAACAAAACCATAACCTTGGGTACAGTAACCTCTCAGAGACTCCCTCATTTGTTAAAAAGAAAAAAAAGTGATAATAATAGTAATATTGACCTTACAGTGTCCTTGTAGGACTCAAAAGAGATGATGTGTGTAATGCTCATTACATAGTTTGTCATGTAGCAACTGTTCAGTTACCATCATCATCATGATTAACAATAGTAGTCGCACACTGTTTAACACAGGAAAATAGCTCTCAGCAACAAAGGAAAATAGATCCAACGGCCTGATTTTTGGAAGTTAATTATACTCATTCTGATTACTTATGCATTTGTTTTCTTGTGAAAAAGAGTGGTGACACAGAAAACCCTGAAGTTTTCACGGGTTAAGGTGCCTGAGATAATAAGTAATATACAGAAATACCTAGATGATGACATTTTCCATAAAAATTGGCTTCAAGAACATTAAAATAAATGTCCAATTGCAGAATGTCAATCTGCCTGACAGTGTAAATCTCCTTAAAGCAATTTAATTCAGATTAAAAAGATAACTTGGCTTATGCAGCAGAATGAAGGATCTGTTTCAAATCCATCACGTTAACACTATCAATAACCCACTATGACCCATGATTGAGTAGTTTTAATTAAGTTCAGTTAGGGTATTGGGGAAAGGGTGCATTATTTAGCCCCTCATTAATAGTTAAAGTGATTATTAAAAATATCTCTATAACTATTGTAGTTTGAGAATCTTTCTTTTTTATTGAATTTATTGTTTTCTTTGCTACAGAGCAATACCATTCGGGAAACTCTGTCTCCTAGGAGTTTTAATGCTACCCCACTTCCAGCACTATAAAACAGAGGCCTGCTGTTTTAATCACGCCTCTCTCTCAATGTTGTTTGCGCCCTGGTACAACCCATCTGCCTTGAATCTAGTGCTCCGCTGGGGCTGCACACATCTGCCAGCCAGACTACCTTCGTACACAATTACTCAATCCACCGTAAGGCTCTTTAATAGGAAACAAGTGTGACAACGGCAAGCCTCCTTTTTTTTTTTTTCTCCTCCCTTTTAAACCACAGAGTCAAATAGCTCTAATAGAGATGAAGCCTGATAGATCCGCCCAGGTGTAGGTGAAATGGTAGAGCCTCAGGGGTAATAGATTCTGTGCTCTCATGCTGAAGTTTAGTGCTGTGTCTTGACTGGCTCTCTAGCATCAGTGTGATGGGCTGCTCCTGGTACAGTTACAAAGTGAACATGCTTCTTGCTGCTCACATTTATCCCTAATCTGGAGGGCAACCTGGAGCTAGGTAAGAACAGAACAGCCCTTTGACTTCAACGCATGGACAAAGGACAACAAAGGCAGTAAGTGGAAAAAATTTTCTTTCTTTCTTTTACTTGGGAATTAATTACGGGTGTTTACTCCCAGGGAATCCTCTAAAGACTGTGCAAAAGTGAACTAGGACAAAGCTTATGTTCATAACCCCATTAATTTCTCCAGTTTCATTTTGCACAATGCCCTGGCACTGTCATTAATACTTAAATGCTCCTGAAGTGACTCCTCATTCAGAAGGTCTCGGAACTGAAATGTGGTGCTAATAATACTGTTAATTCAATCCTGTATTTTGCCGTATTAACTGCTACTTCTGGGTGAAATGTCCTTTATTACTGTCAAAAATGATGGTTGCAAGTATTTTGTCAGTTTCGAGAACACACACAAAAAAATCTTTAAAGCACATACCCTTCTTGAAAATGGATTTCACTTTTATGCATAACTATACTGCTACGTTACTCTTCATACATTAATGTGAGGAATTTGCGTATAATTTTTGCCTAACAAATCTGTTCTATAGCTTGATCTCTTACTAGAGAAGTGACACTAAAAACTCTAAAAGAGTATTAGGTTGTAGCAGCAATGACAATGATAGTGAGTATTTAAAACAAACAAAACAAAACAAAAGGTCATTTGTCTAATAACATAAGAAGATATATTAAAACCAGATGTACAAAATCTCAACTTTGACTTTTTAGTCTTTCATGCTTGGTTTAAAGCAGTCTTCACATTGCGTTTATTTTGCATTTACAACTTTGGATTCACCATTAAACTATGTTTGAACTTGAAGTTCAGATTTGATCTAAGTACAACCTTGTTCCTTGAGCCCCCTACTCTGATTTTTACTTGGCTATGGGGAATCTTTTTACTACTCTACCATATATTCTGAATTGTGTTAACAGGCTAACTGTGGTGGACTTTCAGGTGGAATGTCAGCCAATGTAAAAGAATGTGTTTGCTGCTCAAATGTATGATGCTTCATGTAAGAAATAAACACATAGAACATATGCCCTACCAAAGATTCCAGTTATTAATGATTTCTGAATTAATCCATCAAACACTGCACAAAGCTGATCAGATTAAAGAGAATGCAAGAAAACCTTTCTGCATTTCTTATCTAGTAATAGTCATTTGAGTTGATCTTTTTAAATTTAACCATTATTAATTTGAAAAATTAGTCTGGAAGACATTGTCATCTCAAAAGGCAATGCACATATGTAGAGTAGTTAGGCAAAATTAGACAAAACAGTATTGCACTGTTTAAATAATTCCCCATCGGCCAATGTTTTGTTTTTATTTTCTAACTATTATAGATGGACATCATTGAAAATGATGATTTAAAAGCCATGACGGTAGAATCCTGATGACTCCTTTGTGTATATTCAGAAATGATTTAGCTTGGATAAAGTTGCTGCTATGAGAGGTTTAATTAATTACTTCTAGTTAAATATATTTCTTTAAGAATTGCATTTGACATTACTGATGGTGGAGTAAACGGAGTTTCACAGTCATTCTTCATGAAATACTTTAACCGACAATCGTTGGCATTGAATAGCGGTCAATGTCTACCCCCTACAGGGAGAGATTCTAATTTCACTATGCCTTCCCCAGCACATGAATGCCATAGAGTACAGTTCACACATATGAATGCCGTAACCGTGTCAATGACTTCAACAAGTGCCCCTTAATGAAAAGGTCAGCACTGTGATTAATAGGAAGCTGATTTCAAAGGCTGGACCTCACTTCAGCATGGCATTTAGATTTGTTTCTTCTTGATTTACTCCATTTGCTTTTCAAAGTGTAATAAAAATCAAGTAGTATTATATTGCACATTTTTAATGCATTGTGGTTGCTTTTATATGATAGCAACACAACAGTATATTTGGTTTAGTAAAGAAAGAAATAACAACTAAGTGAAAAAATCAATCAAGCTAATAATTGGTGAATGAAAATTTTACTCTTTATCCAAATGGAATATATAGCCTTTGCCTAAGTTTCAGTTAACTTAATGAACTTTTAAAAGGCACTGTATGGATAAAAGTAGACTGGAAAAAAGGTCTGATTTTTTAACCTAGGCTTATTATGCTTAAATGCTAGCTATGTGCTAGCAAGTGAATATACACACGTAACTCAAAAAGATAATGATTTTTCACTAATGGCGAAAAATCATTGACAAGTATAGCTGAGTGAGGATGAATACAGTAATTTTAATCCTAGTGACAACCTCAAAGAAGATTTGTAATGGTGGTGGTGTTATAGTCTTTCCAGTTAATTTTTTTTTTTTTTTTTTTTGCTGGAAAAGCATTGTGGTTATATCCAACTTACATTTTTTAAATGGTTCTTTTTACTGGAATTATAATTTGTTAATAAATATCCTATAAAATTAAGGTAATGAATAAATTATGTGGTCCTTAAATATGTTTACAATTTTTTCATGTATTATGCATTTTGTGTCCCTGTGGCTTTATCTATACATGTTTTCAAATAAGATTGCAATATAAGTAATTAAAGAATACAAACAATATAAGTATATATACTGTATTTATTACATATGAAAATTGCTATATGCTTAGAGGAAAATTTTTAGAAGACCCAGGATATATCAACTTATTCTAAGGGATATTCTCTTTCTAATAAATTTTCTTTTTTAACCACATATCAACACTTACATAACTTAATAACTTCATGTTCACTTATAGTGAAGGAATTATATTAGACATCAAGATAGAAAGTGTAGAAAAAAGGAGTTCAATTTTGAACGCCAACATCGCACAAGAGGAGCTTTCAACAGCCACTCAAGGAAGAGAAAAATCTAGTAACTCTGTAAAATGGGCACAGTGCTTCCTAGATGTGTCATATTTTGTCAATGGCCACAGCTACATCTTCCCATTATTCCATTATTCAAGATTCCATTTTTTTGCTCTGAGTTGGAAGCCAACTACTTCCAGAGTTCTAATGAATAACATTAGTGGGCTTTCACAAAATAAATTCCTGGAAACTGCTCTAAACATGCCATGATTTATTTAATCCTTACAGTCCAATGAAGTAGATAGTGTTCCTATTCTCATTTACGAATGTGAAAACGGAGTGGTTAAGGGACTTGCTTAGTGACATGCAGATAGTGATATGGTTTGGCTCTGTGTCCCCACCCAAGTCTCTCCATGAATTGTAATAAGCCCCATGTGTCAAGGCGGTACCAGGTGGAGATAATTGAATCATGGGGGCGGTTTCCCCCATGCTGCTCTCCTGATAGTGAATGAGTTCTCACGAGATCTGATGGTTTGACGAGAGGTTTCCTTCTTTGCTCAGCACTCATTCTGTCTCCTGCTACCCTGTGAAAAGGTGCCTTCTGCCATTATTGTAAGCTTCCTGAGGCCTCCTCAGCCATGTGGAACTGTGAGTCAATTAAACCTCTTTTCTTTTTAAATTATCCTGTCTCCAGTATCTCTTCATAGCAGTGTGAGAACAAACTCATACAGGTAGTAAATAGTGTAACTTGGGTTCAAATTAACTTTGCTTGAGGGAAGATGCTACCCCAACCACCGGACTGTACTACCTCTCTAATAGGTGACTTCGTTATTAGTGGAAAGTTAGCTTTATCTCTGACCATCTTATCGGGACTACTTGAATTTAGAAAGAAATTCCAAAATGAATTTGTTGGAATGCCCAATCAAATAAAGCGTAAATAGTTGGTTGTCAATCAAGGAATATGATCTCACTTCAGGTTACATCACTCAATACTTTACCCCAGTATTTTCAGAGGTTTGACTATAGGTAAAGAAGGAGTTGCAGTTATATTTCTGACATGTGAGGAAGAGCTGACCCTTCAACTCTCACTCATTTCACATGTCCACACCTGTTAATAGTGGGACTCTGGAAAGTTTGTCTCCTCAGGGTATTTCCAACCCAGCGATGTCTGGCTGACTGACAAACAGAGATCACTCTAATCACAATAGTCTTTCAATGAGAATCACCTAAACACATTCCCGCCTGCAAAGCAGTGAAAAAAAAAATGAGCTGTCAACCACTTTCAAAGACTTTAAGGCCTCAGTTATTCAATAGGACTATCTGGGTATTTGTTTTTTGAAAGATAGAATGGCAATTGAATTTTCTTCTTATCTGTGGGGAGTACATATATATATGTGTGTGTGTGTGTGTGTGTGTGTGTGTGTGTATATACGAAGAAACATAGCTGGAAAACACCTCTTTGTAATATTTCATTTAAAATATAATTTCCTAGAACCTACATATGTGGTATGTCTCTCTAGTGAAAAACATTCTTCTCAAGACAGACATCACTATGATGGAGATTCTTTGTGAAGAAAATAAAAACAAAATATTTATGACAAAAAAACTTATATCTTTTATTTTTAATATTATAGGTTTATCCTTTCCCGTATAAACACAGGATATTCATTTTAAAGAGAGATTTCATTTTATTTTTAACAGTCCATATTATTATAATTATTAAACCAACACATAGTTTACTTTTACAAACACAAGCAGACTTACGCAAGACAAATGGAATGAACATGAGGAAGTTCCTTCAAACCTGAGCAACCCCAACTCATTTTCTACAAAAGAGTAGGTAGAAATGTTCCTTTAATTCTCATTTTTCCTTTGGTTTGTATAAAAGATATTTAAATATGATCAGCATTTATAAAGTCATAGACTATTCTTGTTTTTTTTAAAGAGAAAAAAACGATTTTTAAAAAGTAATCTCAAGATCCTGGAAAAATTAATCTGTGGTGACAGGATCTGAAAGCTCTAAATACCTTGAGGATTGATGATTACTTAAAAACAGTGGACTTCCTCTATCACTATCATTAGTCAAAGAGATCCACAGGTTAACTTCTTGAAGTTAATCTTATCCTCATAAATCCTTTTTGAATTATCTAGTAACTACTTTATTTTTATTTGTAAGTTCATCTTAAGTGGAAAAGTGTTTCTCTCCCTCTTTCTGTTCTTACTTGACATTACAAGCCTTTTACCAGGGAACCAGTCTAGAATTAATTCTTATGCTAATTGCTTCTGGCTCATGTTCCAGGGAAATATTGGGAACACTGCAGACCTAGACATTGCTGGCGGACACTTCTACCCAGATCTGGGTAGTCTGAGTAGAAGTCTCTGCTTACTTCCACGGTTTCAAACAACCTGAAGTCCCAGCCAGCAGTCACAACAATCAACCCAACTCACAGTCTTCCCTTTGCATGGGGGGCTCTTGGTCCCAGTTTCCCTACATGAGTTAGACTCCTGGCCACCTGGGTCTGGATTTGCAGGCAGCCAAAATCTAATATTTTTTCATTTCTAGCCCTGCTTAATATTAAATATTTCTTTTCATTTGAGGCCCATTAAAATACCCATTTTTTTAAGCATGGGTATAAATTTTTAATATTATCATTGCTATATGTTCACAGTAGAAGTTAGCTGCAGGTGTGTCTAAAGCAAGAAATCAAAGAGGCATCTAATTAGTAGTAACTTCACTTTTGTTTTATTACTTAATATTGTGCATTTCAAATTTGTATGAGAGAGACAGAGAGGAATCGTTAGTATTCTATCTGTACTTCTATTAAAAGCTTGAGGATTTAATCTTTTTTTTCTGGTGAGATGCACTAATATGCTTGAATTTTACATGCTACATAATGATGTTTTTCTGACAAATAATATTTTTGGTCACTCTCAAACTTATTTTCCTGAAATAAATGCTATTAACTATGCGATGCATTTCTGTGTTTATAATTATATTTGGCTAACTCACAAATCCAAAATTCTCTATAAAGAGAAGAGTGAGCATTAAGTAAAAACACTGGGGCTCAGGTCCTCTTTGTGACAATCACTGCCTTGTTTTCAAAATGTACAGAGTATCCATCATGCAACATTTGTGTGAATACTCGTGAATAAACTTTGCAAAACTATTTGTAAAGTACTATAAGGAATTCTGAGAAGTTACTATAAGATAGAAAAGAATATAGGAGCATGCCCAAGCCATATATATGATGTTTCACGTAATATGCTTGGTAGACTTGTAAAATATTTTAGATGTGGTGTAGGAATAAATCTTTGATGTAATTTGTTTTTTTGTATTTGTTTTTGTTTTTGTATTTTGAGACAGAATCTCGCCCTGTCGCCAGGCTGGAATGCAATGGCACGATCTTGGCTCACTGCAACCTGCAACTCCCTGGTTCAAGTGATTCTCCTTCCTTGGCCTCCCAAGTAGCTGAGATTACAGGCACATGCCACCACGCCCAGCTCATTTTTGTATTTTTAATAGAGACAGGGTTTCACCATGCTGGCCAGGATGGTCTTGATCTTCTGACCTCATGATCTGCCTGCCTCAGCCTCCCAAAGTGCTGGGATTACAGGCGTGAGCCACCACGCCTGGCCTGTAATTTGTTTTATATCACGTAAACCATAATGCCTATTTTCCCCTTTAGATTAAAATATGTTTAATGATATTTAATTATTAAACATTTTTCTGAGTCTAATTTCCATTTCACCAAAAAATCAAAATTTCTTTCTCTGGCCAAGAAAACACTTATCAAAAATTTTCCCAATTTGTAAACTTGATGAAAGACTCATATTTGATTAATACTATTTCTAAATGAGCCTCTTCTGTACCTCAGTTTTCAACAATTTCAGAAATGAAACAAAGTTAACAATGGGAGCCCCAAATCTTTATTACTTGAAAGTAAGCCCTACAATACTAAACCTTTGAATTAAGTTTGGTTTACCCATTCAATCACAGCTAATATTGGTTTGAAGCATGGTAAAGTAGAGAAAATTGTTAGTACTGGTAAGGATGTCTGAAATTCACATAAAGCGGGAGCAGTAAATCACAATTGCAGTCACAGCACATTTGGAGGCCTAGATAGGAGGATTGCTAGAGCCCAGGAGTTCATGACTAGCCTGGGCAACATGGTGAAACCCCACCTCTACAAAAAGCAAATATAAATATTAGGAGTGGTGTGTGGGCCTGTAGTCCCAGCTACTCAGGAGGCTGAGGCAGGAAAATTGCTTGACCCCAGGAGGTCGAGGCTGTAATCAACTATGATCGCCCCACTGCACTCCAGCCTGGGTGGCAGAGTAAGACCCTTTTCTTCCAAAAAAAAAAAAATACATAAAATATTAACATGTATTTTCATGTGTGCTCTCAGCTACCCCATGAAATAGTACCAAAAAACTTTGATTTTTTCACTTCTTAAATAATGATGGAAGTATATTTTATCACATCCAATACTGCGGCCAAATATCTACTTTGTACATGAAAATTTGAGTACTGTTAGTTTATGTGCAAACATTTACATTTTATTTAAAATATTAAAAATATATGTTAGTAAATATGGAAAAGGAACATTACTGCAGTAACTACTATGGTCATGTGGCTTACATTATCTTATGTAATCTCTATATTAACAAATAAAGGTAGATTTGTCATTTCCATTTTACAAATGAGCAATGTGTTCTATTTTCTTGACTTTCTAAAGAAGATTAAGCATACAGAAATTTATTCAGATGACTAATCCAATTATAAAAGCAGTAAATATGTACAAACATGCCAAGATGCCCACATGCAGTGCAGGTTGCAATAAAAACTGTTTGTATTATAGTTCCATTCCTTTGGACTGGAATTTAGAGGTTGTACTACTTCAATATATTATGATCCTTAAGGATGAGCATTCATACTTTATTTATATGAGTCATAAGTGTCTTAAGAGCATCAGTATTGCCATCATATTTTGATTCAAGAAATAAGTAATGCCGTTCTTTGGAATGTATTCTACTTTGGCACTTTTATGAGGATATAATGCTAAAGATGATGTCACCAGTCGGAAATGCTATATTTTTACATAAAATCTTTACATCCTATGTTAAGGTACATTTATTAATTTCAGTGTTACAATGTGATAAAAACTTGCTCTCTGTGTGTGTGTGTGTGTGTGTGTGTGAAAGTGAACAAGTGAATATGTGCATGCATAAGTAAAACCGTCTACTTGACAGGATTCCTATTAGATACTCCACAGTGATAGGTTTGTTAAATTAAAAAGAAGAATTTTTATTTTGTTTAAATAGCTATACTCTATAATTTAAAAAAAAAGCTCTTATTACAAATTTTTATATGCACCAACAAGAAAAATATATGCATTTAAAATATTTGTTTCCTGTTTTATTCAGTCTTTTAATGTTTTGAACATTTAGGTTAACCACTTGCTATTCTCTGCTACTATAAGAACACTACATTTTTAAAATTATTTAATGTGTAACTTTAAACTGTGTTAAAGCTACCCACAGCCTTACACAGTGGTCTTCTAGGTAGATTATAATATTTTTAGTACTATATTATTATCAACACTGTTTTTTTCTTAACTAGTCCATTTTGGAAATTATGAACTTTCCTTTTTGACTGTGACAAAACCCAGATTTTTTCTTTTTTTTTTTTTCTTTTTTTTGAGACAGAGTTTCACTCTTGTTGCCCAAGCTGGAGTGCAGTGGCACAATCTCAGCTCGCTGCAACCTCCGCCTCCTGGGTTTAAGTGGTTCTCCTGCCTCAGCCTCCCGAGTAGTTGGGATTACAGGCGTGCACCACCACACCTGGCTGATTTTTTGTATTTTTAGTAGAAACGAGTTTCACCATGTTATCCAGGTGGTCTCGAACTCCTGACCTCAGGTGATCTGCCCACCTCAGCCTCCCAAAGTGCTGGGATTACAGGCGTGAGCCATTGTGCCTGACCCAGATTTTTTTTTAATTAGTATGATATGGGTTGTCTATTCCCCACTCAAAGTCTTTGAAAACTTTCCTTAACAACTAGACTCAAAAGACTACCATTGGCTGCATCTGACACTACCCTACTCAGAAGCTAGAACAAGAAAGAACCATGGACCACTAGCAAAGCACTGTTGGGGCACCAATTCAGGCAGTCCTTAAGTAGTCCAACAACTCAGGTGCTAGCAGGCAAGGTCAAAATGTGGCAAGTGAGGGAAATTCCTGGCTTGAAAGCCTCCTTCTCTATAAAAAATGATATCTTTTATAACAAGAGAGACACAGCTTCTAGGATTCTTGCAAGGGGCCTGCCCAGTGAAAATCATCACCATATTCAGGGATACCCAACATTAGGGTTACTATCAGGTATTTACAATTTTCTTAGTCCTGATTCATTGTAGCAGTTAAGGGTCATTTTTCCTATAGGTAAATTTTCCCAGTAATGTGGTTGACATTCTAATTTTTATAATTTTCGAGGGGAATGGAACTAGATAGTTAACAAAAGGTCAAATTACCATGAAGTGAAAATTTTGTTAGCTTTTTATCCATGGGTAGTTAACATGGAGTTTGAGAAAATTAATTTTAAGGACTAGCATGGCCTATTCCCATTATGTCTACAAATGCAATCCTGTGCTTTAGTTTATGGTTATAGTTATTGCACATAGAGCTCTCATTATTTATAGTTTTGATTTGCTTCCAAAACATTTTATGTATTTCTGCCCTTTCTGTAAACTTTAAAAACTACACCTACAAGTAAACATTTCAAAGGGCTGAAAGAGATTAGATTTGTTAATTAAACATTCCAAGGGTACTTTCAGATGAGACTAGACTAAGAAAGTTTGAGACTACACTCCAAAAAAAAAAAAAAACTAGAATTTTGAGTCTATCATGTAACTTTTTGAAATAAATAAGGTTTCACATAAGAAAAGCAGGGATTTTCTACCAAAACTCAGGATACTAGTTATGCAGCACCATCTTTAACAGTGGGAAGAGGCTATAAGAGGATGCAGGCATCTAACCGCAGTTGTGGCCACAACAATAATGCCATATATAGGCCACACATGAGGTTAGCATGCCTTAAGGGAAAAATGTGAATGTGGTGGGTACTTGGGCTGTTCTATAGGGAGGCAGTGTAATGGACAAATAACACCTTGTAAATTCCTGCAACTATGATCATCAGTGTTTAAAGACTGACTCCAACTGTTTTTTTAGGAAGGGCCCTGGGTTGAACAGTCTCAGAATATTTTAGCTTCATTTACTATGTTATTGCCAATGCTATTGATTAGAATTTAAAAGCGCCACTAAAAATTCAAAAGAATAATATTTCATTAATGAACACTAAATATATGTTGAATGAAATTGAGTCTACTAATTTACCATTTAGGAATAGATATTCGGTATACAATAATTATAAAATACATACGCATTTATATGTGCATTGTTTTATGATAGAGAATTATCCAAAAGTTCAGAGATTCTACTGTAGTAAAGTCAAAATAAACATGAGCTTGGACAAGTAACATTAATAGCACTTACACACTTCTTACATTAATAACATTAATAACACTACCTCAATATTTTAACTTATACGATGAGAAGTTTGAAATAGATGAATTTGATATTTTGCCTAATTTTTCAAATGCCTATATATATAATTTCATTTATGATAAGTTAACATCAGTCAACATTAAGACATAAAACAAGCTTTTAAAAATAAACTTTAGGTAGAAGCTATATTACTCTTAAAAAGATATGTACTAATTTAAACAAGTCTTACTTTTACGATGCTTTTTAGTGACTTACAGTCAATCATGACTAAATTAATAAACTACTCTTGAGTAATTAAATATCCTCATTACTTGAATATTGAAAAATGAGGGCATTGATTATTTTAGTTAACTTTGCTGTCTTCTTTTGAGTGCTTATCACAAATTAAATAATTAAAATTCATTTCTTCCACTTTAAATAGATAATAATTTGCGTCTTCTATTAAAGGTAACATTTTATTCTGTCAAGCTATAGACACTGTAATAAAATGAAGATGGTGCAATATAATTAGCTGAAAAGAGTGAACTTAATTTATCTTGAATTATGTGTAATAAGAAAAAACATAAGAAACCATATTTAGCATTACTTAAATTAAAAAGTATTGCAATTATTTCATATTCCTTTTGAAATCAAAGATATAAATTTTGGGGAAATATCAGAGATATATAAAGTTTATGCCAGATCTTTTTTCTATTAAACACTGCATTTCTTATTTAACAGATAGTGGATTTCAACATCAGTTGTAGCTGGCTCTTTCAATTTGGATGAATAATATACTTAAAGCATTTTTGGGTTTATTTCCTTTAGGAAAACATCTCAGAGTTACTCTAAAAGAGCTTTGAAATAATGTTCATTTTTAATTAGGTTTAGTCCCACCCTTTGCAGCAGAAGCCATTAATAATGAGACACATGCAAAAGGTGAGGGTAGTAAATATTTAAAAGACCAGTGGGTCCCTGAAGATTTAGATTTGCCCTCGTATCTTTTCAATGGTCAACCCCACCATTAAGTTGTATCTTTCTTTACTTAGAAGCCTTTGGAGCTAGAAAATACAAAGAACAGGATTGCTTCTTAGCAAATTTCAAGTGTCATGAGCTTTATCTTTGACACTCTCTCCTCACACTTTTCCAAAATCAGGGTAACTTCTCTACCTTTCTTTCAAAAACAGTCACCCTCATGCCATAGGCTTCTTACTAACTTTAGATTTTTCCCAATACTGAACATCTGCCAACATCAGTGTTTCCAATTCATAAAGCTCCATGCTATTAAAGTCTTTATTTATTTATTTTATTTTATTTTTGGTATGCTACCCTCTTTCCCACTAATTCCTAAGTCAAAACACTCATCCTATTTAATACTCACTGCTACATTATGGGAGCAAAGATGATTAAACATAGACACAGTATGTTGAAAATACAGTTTGATAGGACATCCTTAAATTGATAAAGTTCTAACACTTCGGGGGTAGTTACGTTTTAAAAAGAGGACACTTCCAATTCAAAAACAGATAATATTCAGTTTCAGAAAAATTCAAAAAGAGATGAATTTCAGGTCAAGGAGCTAAGGGGCCCTTCAATCTTGCCTTAGAGCTCTAATCTTCTGCTCAGGCCAACCCTGACCCTGGGCACTGCTACCTGGACAGCATTCTGGCTGTCAGAAGATCAAGATGTATTAAAATTCACTATGAATTTCTGGTACTCATTTATCTTTGTCTGTTTTATGCTCATGCTCTAAACATTTTGAAATTAGCTAATGGAAGAAAATTACTGAATGGAAAGATTCCCTACGAGCAGTTTTAAAATTTACTTTTAATGTTTTTGTGTTACTATTTTTCACTTCTGCTCCATTCCAGGTGTTTCTCTTCAGTCCCTTACCTTCCATTCTCCATTCCTAGTATACCTTCCTTCTGCAATCAAAATCCAATCTTGCAGTTGGAAATTCAGCGAGAGTGAAAAAAGTTAAAACAAAAAAACAAACAAGCAAACAAAAAACCCCAGAGCCCTGCCTGAATGTTGCTAATTGAGCGAAAGTGAGGCCATTCCATCTATGAAGCACTGTTCTCAGTGTTTTTTTGTAGAAATGAACATTAATCTTGCTTTAGTAAACTTCTTTATCTAATTAATCATGTTGTCATTTAAGGGTTAGTGATGCAGTATGCCTTAAATAACTGCTGGATACTTTAGACCCTTATATTAACTTAAACTTTTCTGGTTTGCCTCGCTTAAGAAAGTTTGCATTGGATTCAGAGTTAATACACTAACCTAGCTTTGCTTTGGCTGTGTTGTTGTTGTTGTCGCTGCTGCTTTAAATTGATCTTGAGATTTTGTGTGTAAAAAAGAGGAACATATGCATATTCCTAACTATTGAGCTTCTTATTTATTAGTATTGTTGTTAAATTGTTGAAGTCATCTTAATGCAGAGCAGTATGTATGGTACATCGTGTCATTGACGTATATTCACATTATTTGGGATTGTATTTTTTTTAAGAATAAAATATAGCTCTTTGACAAACATTAATTTTAAGGTTTATTTTAAATATCCTTCCCGATTTTCTGAAATCTTGAGCTACATAGTATATTTACCTCCTCTGAATTCTATAGCATGTCTCATCTGTGTCATTTATTTGATAGCTGCCCATACTGATGTATTTCCATATCTAGTTCTATTCTCTGCTAGATACTAAGCATTTTTAACACAGGGGCCATGATGTCTACATTTTTGTGTGCAACACAGCCTTGACAAAATAGGTGTTCAATAAGTACTTCTTGATTGAAAGTTGACCATTCCACCCTATAAATGCAGGTTAAAGGGTCTTTACCTATGTCTGTATCCCCCGTTTGCTGTTTAATTGGCTATTAGCTAGAACTGATTGATAGACATAAAGACTTTTTTTAAGGAATTGACAGCTATGTAAATATAGCACTTAACCTTAAGCACTTAGCCATTAACCTTAATCACTGTCCATTAACCTTAAGGCACCCCAGGTTTCTCCCCTTACAATCCCCCAAAGCAGACCCTACTTGATGCATTTTTTACCATGAAAAATAATCTTAGTAGAATGTCTTTATTATTCTGTGGATAGCTGTAAAAATTATATTTTGAAAAAGAACACTTGACCTAATTGTTTTATAGTTACTAATGTATTTTCCAGATGTCCAAAGAAAGATAAGAAATTGGGAAATTGTTTTGAGGAGCACATTAGTATATATTTGACAAGAGAAGGACTAGAGGATGCTTTTATAAGTATGATTTTATATAAGGTTGATAATCACAGGCGTGTCATATCACCTTCTATTTAACTTAGAAAATTTATAAAAAATAAATAATATTTTCTATAGCTATTGCTAAAAAGATTTAATTATTGTTAATTCCAGACATATGGGAGTAACTAATAATTTTAAGAATAGAGACTGCTTGATATTTTCTAACTAATGTCAAATTATAACAGAGAAAAAGAATAAATGAAATTCCTTTCTTTAAACATAACACTTTAGATTTGTTTTTTTTTAATATTCTTGTCCCATAAATCTAACTAATTATATTGAAATATTACCTTTTAAAATAATCCTTTGTAGTCTATAAAATCTATATTTTCTCTTTTGGATGTTTCACAAAGACCATATAAAATAATAATTATACATTATTGGAAAGAAACAAAATTTCATGTTAATATATTCCATTTCATTGTATTTTTTATATCATGGTTTTATTTTCACCAAGATCTATATTTACTAAGCATGAATTGAGTAAAATAACATTACAAAGTTGCAAAAAGTTTTGTATGTAATTTTATATGCAATTATGTTTTATGACTAATCCTTGGGGTGAAAACAGTAAGTCAGGGAAGTTCCCATTGTATTCTGAACATAATACATCTTAGGGTGAGGTCAGGTAGAGTGTGGGAGGATGGCTGGGGATGGGGAGGTAGAAAGAACACCTTGCTTATTCAGGAAAGCAACTTGATACTAATGGACTGATTATTTTTAGCTTTGCCAGAGTGCTCAGTTTTGCTCCAAGTCCCGCAGGGAACTGACACTAGAAGGTGTGAGCAACTGAGGGCAGGGGAGGGTCTCTCTTACCACTAAATTTCAAAGTATATTTTAACGAATGTGAAATCTCACTGGAATAACAAACCAGTGTAACATGATGACTTCAACTCTAAAAAGATGTTACCTCAACACCAGGCTGCTTAGCTGTTCATTTGGAATTTTACAGTTACCTAACATAGGAGGAAGGTGATAATGAGGGTGACTTGGCAAAAGAAAGTCCAGGCAGAATGAGCTCCACAAAGGCAAATCAAATGCCAACATTGACCATGTGTTTTGAAAATCAACAAATCAATAACTTTCACGGAAATTGCATGCAGGTCGTATGTTTATTTCATTCACTGAACATTTTTACCATGCAGTCATTCATGACCAAGAGGATGCTCTCAGAGATAGACATATGCTAAGAGGATATTAATTCACTGTTTCATTCTTTATTTTGTAGATCTCACACCCCAACACCTCTATAGATATGGAAATATATCTTAGTTATATCACTATACATAGGCCTTCTTTTCACACAAGATGATGAAAAAACAAGCAAATTTAGCTGAGAATCTGAGCAAATAAGTGGGAGTAAATTTCTATCTTTTCAGAATGTCTTCTCCAATATACACATTTTATTTATTTAAACAACATTGCTTGAGGAACCATTTTATGCAAAGAATATTTTAAGTCTTTTTTTTTTTTTTTTTTTTTTTTTGAGACAGAGTCTCGCTCTGTAGCCCAGGCTGGAGTGCAGCATTGTGATCTCGGCTCACTGCAACTTCTGCCTCCCAGGTTCAGGTGATTCTCCTGCCTCAGCCTCCCGAGTAGCTGGGACTACAGGTGCCCTCCACCATGCCTGGCTAATTTTTTTGTATTTTTAGTAGAGACGGAGTTTCACCATATTGGACAGGCTGGTCTTGAACTCCTGACCTTGTGATCCGCCCACCTCGGCACCCCAAAGTGCTGGGATTACAGGTGTGAGCCACAGCACCCTGCCTATTTTAAGTCATTTTAATTGTTGAAATAGTGATGTAAACATATAAAGGATTTTTTTTGAAAAATATATATATATATATATATTTTTTTTTTTTAACAAACACATGGCATATACTCTACCATACTGCTTTTTACTCTACAGAGGAACAACTAGAAGTAAGATAAGTCTCTTTCCTTTAGCACAAGTGTTAAGTGTTATAAAAGAGGTTAATTAAATACTGGAAAACTGATCAAAATGTTATCTTATTATTTTTTTCTTCAGAACATGGCTAAGAATTATTAATAATCGTAGTTATGTCTCTAAGTTACAAGAAATAGTCAACTTAATGTCAGCACAGTGAAGAGCAAATTATTGATATTGTGCAAGTTTGTTTCTTGCGTTAGATTTTCAGCTACAATGTAAGAATCTGGAATCAATAATTTGTGCGTTTTCTAACTATATTTTTCTACTTTATCACTTTTTGGTTAATTTATCCGTTTTAATTATTACATCTAAGGAATACAAGATTTTAATATCTTATTTTTCTAGGTAATAGCAACACAATACATTCAGTATTTACAAATGATAGAATTTTATATACTTTTAGGCACTTGAATGCCTACAATGTTGTAGGCATTCATGCTATTTGTTGGATGTTGTTTCAATTAAGCACTGTCAGTCTAATTTAATGAAACTATCTTCAAGTGTTACTACTCTACTGCATTATTTTGCAGACTCTATATGGGTGTTTGGCTCTACATTTAGACGACAACTAAGACACATTGAAAAAAAATTTTTTCTTTTCTTTTTTTTTTTTTTGAGATGGAGTCTTGCTCTGTCACCCAGGCTGGAGTGCAGTGGTGCGATCTCGGCTCACTGCAACCTCCGCCTCCCGGGTTGAAGCGATTCTCCTGCCTCAGCCCTCCTGAGTAGCTGGGATTACAGGTGCACGCCACCACGCCTGACTAATTTTGTTTGTATTTTTAGTAGAGACGGGGTTTCACCACATTGGTCAGGCTGCTCTCGAACTCCTGACCTCATGATCCACCTGCCTTGGCCTCCCAAAGTGCTGGGACTACAGGCATGAGCCACCGCACCTGGCCAAAAAAAATTTTTAAACAACTTTCTTTATCTTATCTCTAAGTTCTAAGGAAATATAAAACTTTTATGGAAATTGAAAACTATCATCATGCATATTGTATCTTTCCTGCAAAACTGGCTTTATTTGTATGTTTTACTAAGATGTATCTTAATCTAGATTCATGTGAAAACTAAAGATTAAGTCTACCATGACAACAAAACCAGTCCAAAAAAATAATGCTGAAACATTTTAGGGAGAACTGCAAAGGTTGAGACTATTCTATAGGGAATAATTTGCTTTGATCCAAGTGTCTAGGGATGAAAGCAGAAACAAGTGCCACAGGTAGTCTGGAGTTCTGTAAGTAAACCCATATTCCTGTACTCATCATCTGTAAGTTAACAAATTATTTGCTCAGCACTAGTTACTAATGCTATACTGGAAAAAAAAGTGAAGCAAATAGGGGCACCTCCGACTTTCCAATTAAACCACCAGGTTGCATGTTATGTGAATTTTCTTTTTAAAAATCTGCCCTTGAAATTCATTTTGTGATCATATTTTTATATAATAGATTTAGGTGAGCGTGTAAAACGTACCCCAATAAAGTCTGCTCTAACATCTGTATGGCTGCTTTTCTCACTTGAGATTTTCTCAAATGTTAAAAATTTAAGGAAATTCTATCTGTTTCCTATGAATTTTTTAACCTTAAAACAGCAACCAAACAAACCACCACCACTCCAAAAGCAATGACAAGGAAACAGCACAAGCACTCATCACATTCACAGACACCCTGACACAGAATGAACAAACAAACATATAAGCAGACAGAAAAAACAAACCAACGACAAAAACAGACTCTCTCTCTCTAACAATCCATTATTGTTAGGAAATTTCAGGTTGAATATGTATAGTTAAAAAAAAAACAAAACACACATTCACCAGGGAGTATGAGATGGGCTGTACCACTCCCCTCTTTCCCAGCCCCTGCACTCCTGGGACCCGGCACTCTTGGGGGTTGGGGGAGAAGGGGGAGCAAGAACTCTGGTGCCTCCAGCCCATCTGAGGCCTTAGGTAAGAAGAATGATGTCACAGATGTTTCACTTTTTTTTCTTCATCCTATTTCCTTCTCTTTTCTTAGGCGTTTAAATAGTTTTCTCTCTTTATAGTTTCTCTTCACTTTTTTTTTTAAACCTCTAATATTTCTCCAAAGCGTTCTGATCCCCTAAAATAGAGAGACAATTCTTCTGACTAAATATAAACATTTATTCCTACTGGTCCTTTGTATTTTCTCTCCATTTTTACTGTGTATGGGGCTTATTTTTTCTCAGGTAGAAGCAAGGGTGTTAGGATCATCAGCAGCAGTTCTGATCTCTAGGGGTGTATTGAAGAATACCGGCTATTAATTAACAGTTTATGATGTGCCTCACACTCTGCAGAGGAAGCACTCTATAAAACTGTCAGGTAGTAATAACTCAGCTCCCTTCTTTGGGCTCTGGACCCATCAGCTCTTACACTCCTGATGGGGAAAAAGAGTCATCTTCCTCATTACACCTACCTAGAGGATACAGTGTCAAGTGTAAAAGCTGCTACAAAGAGGAGTAGTCATTAAGTATTTCAAAATGATTTCAAATGTTACTCTGGGAGAGAGAGAAAAAAAAAGGAGCAGTCCTCAACATACTGTCAAAGGAGGGAACTACACAATCTGCGTAGGGGAGCAGAATTTCTCATACAGTAATTTTCCTATCTGGGAAACAACCTGTCTTAGGAACAAGCCTCAGATTCGCTTTTTTCAAAGTCTGTCTTCACTACACAAGAAGGCTTGTCCTAGGTGAAGTTTCTATGTAATGCTGTTTTTGAAATACAATTTGCATATTTTTATTCGTTTTCTCACTTAAAATAATAGACTGTTTTCTCTAGCAAAGTTCAGGTTTAGCTCTTTTCTCTAATCATATAATTTTGTAATATTATGTTATAGTCAGATAAAACAGAAAGAAACTTATTTCCAAGGCTGAGAGATAAGAAAATTGAAAGAGTTAGGATTCTCCCACTTCTTAGTAGATGAGACCGAAAGCCATTGTTGCAGTGATGGAAAACACACAGCCATGGAGGGTTTGGAACTGATTCAGATCTTCAACAAGATCCTGACTTATGTGCGGCTCAGGGATCTGGTCTTTTGCTCAATAAAGGTATGGAAAATAGAACTATAACTCATTCCTGACTCAGCACAGTGTTGTTAATATTTGTCTTTTTAATGTTCTTAATTTAAAATTTTACTCTTAGAACCAATGTTTAGTATTATTTCTATAATTTTGAGGCTCCTAGTCATTATTTAAAATGTTTTTGTTAGTTTCTGTGCAGTCTGATTTATCAGATATTTATATTTAACTATTCCATAGAAATTAAAATATTTAGGCCAGGAGCAGTGGCTCATGCCTGTAAACCCAGCACTTTGGGAGGCCGAGGAGGGTGGCTAACTAGAGGTCAGGAGTTGGAGTCCAGCCTGGTTAGTATGTTGAAACCCTGTCTCTACTAAAAATACAAAAATTAGCCAGGCGTGGTGGTGCACACCTGTAATCCCAGCTACTCAGGAGGCAAGAGAATCTCTTAAACCAGGGAGGCAGAAGTTGCAATGAGCCGAGAATGTGCCACTGCACTCCAGCCTGGGCAACAGAGTGAGATTCAATCGCAAATAATAATAATAATAATATTATAATAATAATAATAATACAAAAATATAAAGTATATAAGATTTATCTATAGATGACATTTTAATATTTCCCAATTCTTTGTTCCTGTGAATAATTTTATTCATTTTAAAGTTATAGTTATAGAGAATAAAAAAGTGACTAAACACAAAAATTTATAATAAAACCTTCAGAGGAAATAACAAAGAAGGAAACTAATACTTAAGAAGTATGTAGGTTTCACACACACACACACACACACACACACACACACCATTTCTTTTTTCCCATTAAGCCCAAACAATACTTCTCTGAAGCAATTTTATGTATGGTATTCCAAAGAGATTAAGTAAATTATAGAGTTTCTTATCTAGATTTAGTGGCAGAGCTGTAATTTAGACCTAGACCTAATTCCAAAATCAAGTTTTGGAACACCGAATATACAGTACCGTTTTTAATGCCACTAATGCTGTCACATGAGGATCTCTCTAAACTAATAGCAGTATTAAAAGCTGTTGTTAATTATATCATCTGCCACTTTGGGAGGTAATACTACTTCTTAAATGTCAATGTTTCCTTTTGTTTGAATGTTATTTTTCCTTAACATAAGCTATTGATATGATTATATGGATCGATTTGGTTTAGTGGGATTATGTTCTTCTGAAATAATATGGTAAATTATGTAATGCTAACAGTTTAAGAGCAGGATATTGTTTTCTGATTGAGTTCCTCTAATATGATCCTGTGCGACATATAAGTTTACTTTTAACAGAAGATTTTATTTAGCTCTAAAATATTTAAAGGTGTTTTGAAATTTGACAAACATTGAACATTGTATCTGATAGAAATGTGGTGACATGTTTTAGCTGAAAAACAGAAAACAAGACACACAAAATACAGATTGAAAAATGGAACAAACATTGGGAGCTTCATGATACAAATACAATACACATAATATAATACGAAGCACGAAGCACTAATGCGTTTTAGCCTATTTGTCTAATAATGAAGATGTTAGTTAAGCTCTCCTTGCAATTTAAGATCTACATCTTTACCTCAGCTCCTCCTTGTCCCAACCCACATCCCATGAAAGACCAAAGTCTTCCTCAAAATTTCTGCATATTTCTGAAGCATGTGTTCGAGTGGGGGAGTGGGAAAATATAACTCATGTTTGTCATTGTATCTCTTGACTCTAACCTAACTTTTCCTCAGTTCATGAACAATATTATCATTTTTCTCTTTTACTTATATGGACATGTAATCACATACACTCACACATGCCTGCTTTTCTATTATAGCCATATATATTAATATTTTATTATAGACTGGACACTCATTTTAGGTTAAGTAATCCTCAGAGATATGTACTATTTATTCATTGAGTTAGTCTCTTAAAACTGTATTAAATTTGGTTAGCGATCAGTGTCAGGTCAATGCAATTAATAATAATCATGGGCATTAACCTAAGATACCAAAAGAAAAAAAAAAACCTGAAAGTCAGATGATTTGAAGATCCACTAATCCTAATGTGCTTTTTACAATTAGAAGCAGCAAATTTGTATTGGAATAAGGGATCTAAAAAAAGATTTCCCCAGCCAGCCTTATGTATAAAAGTATGTTTCCCTAGAAACCAAGAAAAATATGCACAGAAATATGGATGGTTTAGACTGTTTCTTTTTGGTTGGGGGAATTGGGGATTTTGTTGCACTCTAGCAATTCCAGGTCTAGATTTCATAACGCTTTCATTCTCTCTTTCTCTCATGAGGATATAAAGCCATTGGGATAGGTTGCTAACACAATTTCTATTTTTGTCCCTCAAAAACCTGGTATTATTGTCTCACAAATCTAAGGTTTGCTTTTTTAACATCACTGTAAATTTCAAGGTCTTTTGATTCTTCCCGCATAGACGTGTTTAGTTATGCCATAGAAAGACAAGATGTATTACATTAAGCAACATTTCCAACATTTCATTAAAAATCTTGCACTGAAAAAAGATACTTAAATATCTCCTTTAGGGATGTCCTTACGTCCTTTTAAAGCTTTATGTGTCTGTTTAATAAGTGAAATATAAATATGATGAATCAGAAAAATTGTCAGCCTTTTAAAATGATATTGAGTTAAGCAGTCACTCTGATTGCTAACCAGAAAAACTGTTGGGGGTGTGGGAACCAACAACATAGTTTATATCAGTTTACCTGCAAGGCCACTCATAAGGATTAATGCTTATGATCAAGGACAGAAAAGAAACATTACAGAAGATGGGGGGAAATGACTTAGTCTGTGTTTAATAGGCTTCAAAAAGCAGTCTATTTGTGTATTGCTGGTTATGAACCTCAAAGTTTTTGCTGAAATACATAATTAAAATATCCTAATTCCCCATTTCAGTGTATTTGCTTTTTGGAAAGCTGTTAAAATAGGCCCATCTCTCTTTTATTCCTGTCTACTCTCAGAGTTCCCATCTTTACTGGTTGCAAGCCAGTAGAGAATCATAATCTATTTTTCCCTCTGACCCAAATAACTTTACATGTGAAATCCAATTATTTAAAAAAAGATGTCAAGTACAGTCTATAAGGAGAAAGAATCAAAATCTTAGGCAGCCTAATGGGTGAATGGGGACGAGGTTGAGCTGGGCCAGCTTTTATTCTTTTAGAGTATTCTTCTAGAGCTAATGCTAAGGACTATTGCTAAAAGAGAAGTGTTAAAAAAAAAAGATAATTGGAGAAGAGTTCTGGGATTTGTGTGTATAAACCTTGCTATATA
Source organism: Homo sapiens (assembly GCF_000001405.40). Lineage (NCBI taxonomy): Eukaryota > Metazoa > Chordata > Mammalia > Primates > Hominidae > Homo > Homo sapiens. The sequence continues at coordinate 84,470,655 of NC_000007.14, read as the reverse complement.
CCGTAAGTAAGTAAGTATTAGCCATGATCTGTATATGAGCCTTACTTTTTTAGCATCAACTGACAGTCACAGTTTTACATTCATTACGCTTCAAGTTAAACCACTAGGGCACGGCAAAGGTAAGACCCATGCACAAAGGCACAGTCTGTACTCTCCCATCTTCTCCCTTTCCAGAATTTGTTTTATCAATTTGTTTGTTTTAGCAATGCTTTACAACTGTTACTGTCTTCTTCTGTTCACAGAATCATTTATGTCTCCAGAAATGCTTCATCATATAGCTTAGTTCAAATCTAGAATAAAATATATTTTTGATTAGGAAGATAAATTTGGCCAAATTAATAGAAAATAAAAATGAGGTTTGTTAAGAATATTGTTTTGAAGGAAAACACTTCTCCTTATTTAATTCTGACCTTGAAACTTCTGATAATGGAAACAAAAGAGGGTTTACAAATTCTTTAAAATTATAAGTATAGTAGAATCCCAAGCACTTAAGAAATCTCCTAACAAGTTTTCTCTCCTTTTCATTCTTTGTTAGATTATCTACGAATAAATTTAGTAATTGGTGAATACATATTCCCTGTACTAATGATAGAACTGATAAAAGCATTTCCAAATTAATTTTTATTTAGAATATTTAATGATTTTCTTTCATTTTATCCTTTTTATTTCATTAACAATTAAAAAATCTAATAACACATAACCATTATTTCATATTTTATTAAGTGTTTACACTTTTCTAACATTTATATTCTTCATGAATAGAACCAACTATCAACATGATTTGGAACTAAAGTTCATTAGTCTTATTATATGTAAGAACTCCTTACCTCTTGGAAATTACAATAGATTTATCACGAAGACATCTCATTTTACATTAGTAATTAAACCATTTTGTAAACTAAAGTAAATTGTATGTGAGAAATAATAGAAATTGATCCATGTCACTCTTAATATTCATTAGAAGAATGATTTTACTTTCTTCAAAAGCATTTTTTACATATACTTCATTAAGCACATGTGGACAATGATTTAGGTTAACAGAAAAAATCTTAATGATCTTAAGTCACCATGGAAAAAGCACAGAAATATTCCTTATGTTTTGGAACACAAAAGAAGGAAGTAACTCAACCTGCACTTTATTATTTTGTATCAGATGCAAAGCTTTCTCTAAACTTTAAATCCAAGTGAAAGCAGCTGCTGGAAAAATATCATTACACTATACCTTAAGCTACAAAAACCAATTTAATGGTGACATTTTATTTTGTTCAGATGGTCTACTCTTTTCTTCTGTTTAAACCAGTAAAACTTATGGAAACTATATCTGGATGAAATCACTGGAAGGTGAAGGTCCATGACTAAAAACATTCTTTAAAGCTTATACAGGGTTACAGTTGAATGGGATAGCAGTACTAACAAGAGCGAAGGTCTCCCAAAGACAGGAAGTAATATTACATCATTTAGCTATTCATATGCATAAGCACACATTCTCTTTCCTAGAAAGGAATAGACAGTTTATTATTCAAAAATATCAAAACGTAAAACATGGACAGTACTTTTAAAACACGTGGCATGCTTTTCAGTTCAGCCTATTCTATTTTATAAATGAAATCATCAATTTTCTATCCTCAGCGGATCAAAAAATTTCTTTACATTTTCACCATTTTATTTACTTTTCCTGAAATAAAATAAAAAAAGAAAATCACCTATGCTTTTACTATATATAGTTAACTATATAACCACAAGCAATACTTGAAAACTAAAATTTAACACTAAGATTGACCTAGCTGTTATGAAATAAGAGTATTTTACTAAAGAGAATCATTTTTCTAAAAAAAAAAGAAAATAAAAACTATTCTTGATATAAATCTAATACTTATAAATCTTTATTAGAAAACCTGGAAATCAGATCGTTTAGCACCAATTTATACTGAACATGAAGGTAAGAAATCTCTTTGTCTCACACCTATTTTTAATTCATTCTTCTTGACTGATATTAACATGAGTTCCTTAGTTTACTCATTCAGAATTTATACATTAGCTCTAAAGAGGACTCGTGGTAAAAGTTACAGATATCAAAAACCATTGACTTTAATAGTTGATAACAACAAGGAGAAGGAGCATTCCAAGTTAACGTTGTTGGTGTGACTAGTGTGACAGAAATATTTAAAAAAAAGATCAAAACTTTATGGCATCTAAAAACCTCACAAAGTGCTTTTGTAATGACCTTAAATGCAGTAAACTAGGCACCTGCTATGGAGTGTAGTTATAACCATTACATAAATAAGACCGTCTTACCACTTAGGAATGAGTCCCAGGTGGTCCTGGCACAGCCTGGTCACATCTGCTAGGTCTTAGGAAGATGGGGAAAAGGGCTCTGCATACTGGCATTGTGCCACATGATTTTGCACAATGAAAACTTTGCACAAGTAAGAAATGCAAAATATCCCAAAATGTGGGGGGAAGAGAGTGTTCCAATTTAAAAATACAGTAGTGGATGCTACCAACAAGTAACTTTTCCTCCCTCGTTTTAAATTTTCCAGACTCTTCAATGAGTTCGTTGGACTAGATTATTTCCAAGGATTTACTCTCTAGAATTTTTAGCAGCATTTAATCTCATTAGTGGGAGCCTACGTACAGTCTATCACTTATTCATTCAACAAACATTTTGCTTGGTAGGGCTTGATAAATAAAAACAGTCTCTGCCTTGGGCCCAGAGTTAAAGCAGGCAAGACAGAAATGTAAACAGAGTATTAGAAAATATAAAAATACTATAATAATGTTATACACAGGCATGTTGAAGGAAATGCTTTAAGTCTTTTGGTGAGGTTAAGAAAGTTGTCTTGAACAAGAATTCATTAGGTATTTTCTATCAAAGGAAATAAAAAGGAAGGCTGTTTCTGGTAGAGAAAATGGTCTGTGTGAAGGCAGGAGGTGAGGAAAGGTTGGTAAATGAAAAGAGTTCTCAGAAAGTTAATGATGTTGGGATGCATTGAAAACGGGAAAATAGCTTTAAAAGTAGACAGGCAAGATCATAAAGAAATTGGATAGGAAGTCGTAGTTCAGTGTTTAGGGTCGTGGACAAAAGTCCAGTGCCTGGAATTGAATTTTTTTTTTTTTTTTTTTTTTTTTTAGAAGGAGTCTCGCTCTGTCACCCAGGCTGGAATGCAGTGCAGTGGCGCATCCTCAGCTGTCTGCAATCTCCATCTCCCAGGTTCAAGCAATTCTCCTGCCTCAGCCTCCCAAGTAGCTGAGACTACAGGTGTGCACCAACATACCCAGCTAATTTTTTGTATTTTTAGTAGAGATGGGGTTTTACTGTGTTAGCCAGGATGGTCTCGATCTCCTGACCTCGTGATCCACTCGCCTCAGCCTTCCAAAGTGCTGGGATTACAGGCATGAGGCACTGCGCCCGGCCCTGGAATTGATTTCTACTTTAATCATTTATGAAGTCTACAACTTAGGAAAATATATTTAATTCATCTTAACCTCAGTTTCCACAAGTGCATAAAGATGATTAGGTTTTTTTTCTCTTATGGGGTTGTGCTAAAGAGTAAATCAGACCATGCATACTGATATTGAAACTTCAACTACATACCAAAATCCCGAAAAAGTTAAATTTAAAACTGACATACTGAATCATCACATGCAGATGTATGAGGGAAATTTCTGAACACTAATAATCCAGTTTGAAACTATTTATGGGCTGAGAGAGAAGACTGAGGAGGAAAGTTTATGAAGAACTTTCTTTGAAAAGAGTAGTTGCCAACCTGTAGGCATCTATTCCTATTAAAGTGAGGGATAAAGTGGTGCTACCTCTATCAACTCAAGCTCACAAAGGGGAACTACAGGTAGGAGAGGATCCCAGCTAGGGACTCACTCACAAAGTCACCCCAGTAGAAACAACCGACTTCTAGCTTCTTCCAAGTCCAGGGTACAATCTAATCTTCCAGCCTGAGGTTGGCCTGTGCAGGCATATGGGAGAAGATCTGATGGTAAGTCAGGTTCATCTTGGATGGAGATTTATATGCTAATACGAAATTGAGGCTGTGTTTTTGGCTTTTAGTGATCATAGAACTATCTCTTACTTAAGAAAGAGCAGAGAATTCATAGGCCTGCTAGAATTTGCTTCCATGGATAAGGAAATATAATCTTCATTTAAAAACATTTTTCAAAATTAGTTGGAGGCTGGGTGCGGCGGCTCACACCTGTAATCCCAGCACTTTGGGAGGCTGAGGCGGGTGGATCACCTGAGGTCAGGAGTTCGAGACCAGCCTGGCCAACGTAGTGAAACCCTGTCTCTACTAAAAATACAAAAATTAGCCGGGTGTGGTGGCAGGCGCCTGTAATCCCAGCTACTCAGGAGGCTAAGGCAGGAGAATCGCTTGAACCAGGGAGGCGGAGGTTGCAGTGAGCTGAGATCCGCCGCTGCACTCCAGCCTGGGTGACAAGAGCAAAACTCCGTCTCAAAAGCAAACAAACAAACAAACAAACAAAAAACCTAACAACAACAAAAAAGAAAAGTAGTTGGAGACAAAAACTAAGTTGCATTTTGATTATGTCACAGACTAACTTGTTGCAAATACTGGATTTGCATTAAAACAATCACATTAAAAAATGTGATTGGCATGGAGTGAGTGATGAATACCTGAGGTGTCAGCTATGTCAAGGTATGAAGTGTGTCCTGGATAAATTGTGAAGCCATTATAAGGAAATAAAAATGAGCAGCTTCATACAGAAGATAGTTTTGGGATAAAGTTGGGATAAAGGTATTGGGGAAGAGGAGGAAATTAGAGGCAAGAAGTTCTTCAGGAAGCTATTTAATACCCTCCAAAGAAATGTTGATGCTTGTAATGAAGGCAATAAGTAGTCAAAATGAGTAGAGTAGATTTGGTAGATATTTAGGAGGTAGAATATAGGGCCCAAGGATGTACATTGAAATGAGGCAAATGAAAAATATAGAATTACTTTTCTGGATCTCCGGCTTATGTAATAAAAATTAAATAAAGATAAATCAAGTATTTTATTTGTTGTATGTTGAGTTTGGGATATTTTTGAAATTTTCAGATAAACATTTGCAGTTAGAAATAATCATCCACATTTAGAAAGCAAGACTATATTAGAAATACAAAATGGAAATTTTCTTTATGTATGTGGTAATAGCATACAGAAGAACACATATGAATAAATACAAAAAATCAGAAAAGAAAGTCAATAATAGATCTACATAACATTGTATCTAAAAGTAACCTCAGATAATTTAGCAGTTGGTTTTCAATGTTCTTTAGCCTCATTCAAATGAGGTATTATATGTCTAACATATACAAGAGAAAAAAATGAGTTATTTGATTGGGGTATGAATGAGGATCTTTGCCAATATAGTCAATCCTTATCCAGTTTGAAGATCCTGCTATTCCCACAGAATATTTAGGACTCCCAGAATCAATTAGAAAACACTGGTTGTATATAATCTTCCTAATTAATATACATGAAACTGATACTAGAAAAATTTAGGTTATTTGCTTAATGTTGCATGAAATCCAGACACATTTATGTATAATTATAGAATTCAATAATGGTAGAGTAAAATCTTCAGGACTTTTTATCCTTAAGTCTTTTTATCTTTTGGGGCCATACAGAAGATTTTATGTGACACTCTCTGGGTCTTTATGTTTACTCCTCACATAGGTCCCTGTTTCCAGAGAAAACTTCTGTATAGTCACGTGGCCTTGAAGCAATTCTTCCTACTTTAAACGTATCTTTCTTTATTACACTGATAGGAATACATGCTCCTGATTCAGAAAATTAAAAAGATACCGACTATATTATGAAAAGTTTATTTTCTCATACCTCTGTCTTCCAAAACCAACTAAATATGACTTTCATATATTTCTTAGTTATTCCTAACTTTCCCCGTCTTTGATATCTGTTCTCTCTAAGCTAATTTCTATGCATCAATTACAATGATCTTTTGAAAACAAAATACAGATCATATTACTATTTAGCTTAAAACTTTTTTATGGATTTCTGTGGCAATTGGAGGAAAATGTAAATTTGTACCATGAAATTTAAAGTTCCAAGTGATGTATTTCTTGCCTACCTCTGTCATTATTTCACTCAAGGAGTTCTTTCGTTCTTTCATTTACTTCTTCATTCTTAAACCTATTAAACATGCTATTTTAATTTAGGTCGTTGTATTGGTTCTGTTTTCTGCCTAGAACGTTCTTTCTCCATATCTTCCCAGGCATGCTCTTCATTCTTCAGAGCTCAGCTTAAATGTCAGCTCCTCAAAGCAACCTTCTCTTACATCGTCACTTCATTATAACTTAATGCACAATTTTGGGATGAAATATTTGAGTTCCACTTTGTGTTCTGCAAGTCGCTTGTGATGCAACCTCAGGCACATGACATTTTTAACATTGCTTAGGCTGAAAAAATATGGCTAGCATTACTTTATTGTCAGGATTGTTGTAAAATTAAGAGTTCAATAAAGGAAAACTGTTATTTGTGTTAATTTCTGTTTTCTGTCTCTCCTGAGCTTAAAAGGAATTCTAGTTACATTTTTTTGAGTTTAAAGATGAGGAAAACTAGGAATATGAGTATTTGAATTGAAAATTATGTCAAAGTATGAGTAACATTTTTAGATCATCAGCCATGCCCAGGACCTACCATTAATTAATTAATCCATTCATTCTTTATTCATTACTGCTGAGTGTTCACTATATATCAGGTACGGACCTTGTCCCTGGAAGAATAACAGTGGCATACAAAATATATAGAGGAAAAAGTATATAATTATATTGTAATATATGTTAGGAATAAAGTTATATGTTTTATGGGAAAAGGAAGGAAGGGAAAGAGGGAGGAAAAGTGGGAGGGACAGAAGGAGGAACGGCAGGATAGTTTTATATAGGTTCAATTTTAGTTGATTCTCAGAAGTTGAACAGGTGTTTAACAGGGAGAAGAAAAGTCATTCCAAACAGAAATCCAAGGATGAAACCTCAGCAAATTCTAACACTGACAAGAATGCAATAAGAAGCTTCAGAAACGAGTTTTAAGGAATAAGGGTCAATGGAGCCTAAGCTTTCAAAGCTAAATAGTTACAAAAAAACGCCAGGCGCGGTGGCTCACGCCTGTAATCCCAGCACTTTGGGAGGCCAAGGTGGGCGGATCACGAGGTTAGGAGATCGGGACTATCCTGGCTAACACGGTGAAACCCCGTCTCTACTAAAAATACAAAAAATTAGCCGGGCGTGGTGGCAGGTGCCTGTAGTCCCAGCTACTCGGGAGGCTGAGGCAGGAGAATGGCCTGAACCCGGGAGGCGGAGGTTGCAGTGAGCCGAGATTGCGCCACTGCACTCCAGCCTGTGTGACAGAGCAAGAGTCCCTCCTAAAAAAAAAAAAAAAAAAAAAAAAAAAAAGAATAGTTACAAAATACTAAAGTAATTATAAGCAGGTGAAATCTTTGAACAATTATTGCCTTGGAATAATGCACGCAGAATGTAGATTCTGAGTGCTGAGGAAAGAGAGATATTAAAAAATGAAAAACAGTTGAACTGCTGATTCAGTACTTTGGTGGTTATTCAAAAGAAGTAAAACATTAAGTGAAAATGTGTAGAGACTACGGTAATGAGAAGAAATTTATTAAGATGGAAGAAATTTCTAACTATAAGAGGAAGGGCTAGTAAACAGAGGACATTTGAAAATATAAGTAATCAAGGCCTTGGCAGAAGGACTCAGACATGTTTCTCCCTGGAAAGAGATGAGGATTTCCATCATAGGTATTTTGAGACCTTGTGAGATGAACAACTGCTATCTATCTATCTATCTATCTGTCTGTCTATCTATCTATAGCTATAGCTATGTATATATTCTTTCTCGACAATTTTTCACTAAACCCCTCTTATCTCCTTTACTGTGGGTCCAGTTTGGTTACATGCTAAAAAGGTGAACTTTTCTACTAGAGTAGGCATTCACACATGATGCCTACTTTCTTCTTTAGAACAGGCCTTTATTATTACAGATCCACTCAAAATAAAGCTCTAAGGAACATGACTAATTAAGAGTGCCAGACTGTGAGGAAGAATAAATGTGATTTAAGGGAAACCAGCCAGACCAAAGCACAGACCATAGCTATTCTAATTTCAAAAATAAGAGTCTGTAATGATCCTGTGGAGCTAGTGTCAGTATCAGTGATCATGGAAAATTAGTTCCTCACATTCTTTCAAGAACATGTTGGCTTCTTTACATAAAATTCCTTGGGAAGACTCCAGAAGTCACAGTTGTTATATGTAAAATTTTGTCATTTCTTGTTACTTGATTAATTTCAGCCCCCTAGATTATATGCTATACTATAAAATATTGCAGTAATTATATCCTGAAAATGTAATATTTGCTGAGAATCAGGCCATATATCTTTTTTTAATTCCTCAGAATGCTTCAGTAATAAGGTATATTTTTATGAGAAAAAAATCATCCAATAAATAACATGTCAATGCTTAATGCTGTATGGGAAAATGCTTTATAAATGTTAAGGTGGTAGTCTTGTATGAGACATTATATATTCACGAAGAGAGAGAAATTATTAATATATATTGGCTATCACCAACGTTTAAAAATATCAAAAAGAGACTTTGAGATAGTTCAATATCAAAAGAGATGTTCAAAAGACTGAATATCACATCATTTTAACAATATGGCTAGGCAGTAGAATCTTCCTAAAACCTCCAAATCCTACTACTGAAACACTAGTCTTTATGCCCAAGATGGTTAACATAAATTGTAAAAGAACTGAGCAATGTAGAATTAAATGAGAAATAAGATTCAGAGAAGAATAGAATAAATCTTAAATTTGTTGTACATAAGCATGAAACAAATCCACTTTCTCAATGTGCTTTAGTTTTTCTTTTCTGTATGAATCAAATATATGCTAATAGTATATGAATTAGCTGAACAGTAATAGATTATGTATTCTAAAGTAGATTTAACCCTTGTCTGAATGTCATTGTTTAGGTCCCAAAAGGTTTGTACATAATTTAAAGGAAGGTGGGAATGGCAGACATCTCCATTGTTTGTTCATGGCCTTTGCTTGATTATAATGCACAAAATATTATCTCTTCATGCATAAGTCTCCTAAATTATGCATTGAAGTTTGTCTTATTTAAAAAAGGGGAAGACAGCTGTAAAAAAAAAAAGCTTTCCAAGTATTTATGCATCAAAAATACATATTCATGATGGAAAATTACCCACCAAAAATGTGTTCTTTTCAAGGGGCAACATTATAATTTTGAAAAAGTTACAACCTGTCTTTATACTGTGGTATTGTGTCCTTCCTGGAGGGACACAGCAGGCCGTTCATTGGATATCACTGAATTTTCACTCTGTTTGAATTAAGGATGTAAATGACTGAAACATAAGGCAGCTGCAGACTGCTTACTAAGAACATTTATCAACATATTTAATCGACAATTCATTTTACATCCCATGTGTAGAGGATCCTGTCTATTACATGACATTTAGGATGAAGTTTATTTGAAGCACATCACCCTTTTTTTAATAAGTAACATTCCTTATACCCTATGAATTTTAAGCTTCTATTTGGGCTGATAAATAATTTTAAAGAAAGGAAAGTATTTTAAAAGTATTGGAATAAATAACCCTGCTGTTCAACTGCATGTTTTGGGAATTATCTTGGTTTGAAATGTAAGGCAATACTCTCTGTGTATGAGTATAGGCATTTTAATGAAGCTATGTGACTCAATTTTGCACTTTGGAGTATTTAGGTGCCAGTTGCAGGTAGTCACAAAATAACACCTGAACCCAGGAAGCTGAAGCCCTGGCTCCTTCGACTTGCTTTTTGAGCCTCAGCTTCCTTGTTTTTGAATAGAGACAAATCTCTGCCTATCCATAAAGCTTTGTGTATCTTAAACTGCAAAGCAAAGCATATAATAAAGTTTTGGTTAAAATGTAAAACACTGATCAAATAGGAAAGTACATTATAATTCAAATTGCTGGTTTCCAGGTTATGGACAATCAGTGGACTGGGAACTGTACAAAGGCTATTATACCTTTAAATTGTGAATAATCATTTAACTTGATTTTATCAAGTGGTAAGATTTAAGGAGTAAACAAGTTTATATTATTTTCTTCATGACTAAATGGTAGAAAAATAGATACATAATAACCTTTAAGTTGCATGAAAATCATCTAAAATGATTATTAATATTCTTCTTCCTTCTCACTGTTTTTTTTTTCTGAGAATTGATTTGCAAATTATAGCTCCACGTGATTCATTATATTTTTGGAAAAATGCCCAAAAACATAAGTCCTGACACAAAGATGGGCACTATATGACTAGTTCCTGAATATGTTAGGAAAACAGAGTCAAACTTTTATCCCATTGATGTATTTGCCTTTCTATTTGCAGGATTAGACAATCTATCAGAAAGAAGCATCCAGGATTATAATAATTTCTTTACATTGGTTTAAAACATTCTACACCAAGAATTCTTAACATTTTGAAAAGTAGAAGTAATAACATTATTGACTGAGTTGATGAAATCCTGCCTAATGTCTCTGAAAAGTTACATGTAATAAGAATTAGGTTTTTTTGTTTGTTTGTTTGCTTGTTTTGAGACAACATCTCACTGTATCTCCTCCGCTGCAATGCAGTGATGCTATCTCAGCTCACTGCAGCCTTGACCTCCCAGACTCAAGCGATCTTCCCATCTCAGATTTCTGAGTAGCTAGAACTACAGGCATGCGCCACCATGTCTGGCTAATTTTTGTATTTTTGTATTGACAGGGTTTTGCCATGTTGCCCAGGCTCTTCTCAAACTCCTGAGCTCAAGTCACCCACCCGCTTTGGCCTCCCAGAGTTCTGGGATTACAGGTGTGAGCCACCAAGCTCTGCCAGGATTAAATATTTTATTAATTAAATCAAAATTAATTTGGAGAAAAATTTATTCCTTAAGATTATTAAAGTTATCTGAGGAAATCATAAAACCTTTATTGAATGCAAAAATCACTTTTTAGGCTGTCAAGGAAATCTTTAGGAAATTTGTGATTCAGATCCTGTATTTCTTTCAATTCCTCTGTTATTGATTTTCTTCACACTATTGATTTGAATATCTAGTTTATTTCATCTCTACTAACATTAATAGCATTTACTGTTTACCTGCTACAAAGATTACAAGTTATTGTTTGGAAAATATCTTAAGTTCTTTAGAGGGAATTGTAAAGAGGTGCAACTCATCGTTACTACTTTTGGTGTATTATAGGAAATCAAACACAAAGTGTAATAATCAGCATTCTGTGGAGAATTTATTTTGTATCAAAAGATCTAGTGTGAATTTACTTTTAATATTTCAGTAGCTACATTCCATCCTTTTCAAACTTTAAGAAAGTGTTTAGAAATATGAGTATGTGTTTTTAACTGCAACTCATTTATCATCTTACATGGGCTTTTTTTCCTAATACCACATGGGCTCTCTGCAACATGACAGTAAGTCACATGTTGGAAAAGTAATGGGTCCTTAGGGGATATTTATAGAGTAAGAACAAAATTATACATATATAAAATTAAAAAGCAGGAGCTGGGAGGGTGATGATATTAGTGCCACAGACACAAATGAATTTTATTAAGAGCTGGGAGATAGTGAGTCAAAAAATAATTTTCAGAGGTTGAGAAGGGTAGCAGGAGAGGAGAATGAAGAGGAGTTGGCTAATGAGTACAAAAATATGGTTAAATAAAAGGAATAAGTTCTAGTATTCAATAGTAAAGTAGGAAAGCTATAGTTAACAATAACTCATTATATATTTGAAAGTACTGGAAGAATCAGAATGTTCTCAAAACAAAGAAAAAATAAATATTTGAAGTGATGGATATCCCATTACCCTGATTTAATCCTTAAACATTGTATATATGTATCAAAATATCACATATACCACCGAAATATGATCAACTATGATATATCAATAAGCAATAATGATTTCTGGTGATGACGAGGCAGAGAGGTGGGAGGATTCTAGTAACAAACCTGACAGCCTAGAGGATCTTTCTTCAAAGAAAGGGAAGGCAAAAAGTCAGAAATCTAACTTTCAGGTGCACAAAGTATGCAAGTTGAAAAATAAATAATTCCACTGGAGTACATTAGAAAATGAAATCAAAATTCAAAAATAAAATATAACTCCTATCAAATTATTTTTTTATGATTTAAATAGCCACAATAGTTAAAATTGACATAATTTTTTTCTCTGAATTAATATGGCAATAATATGTTGAATAATACTAAAGTTAAATGAAGATGTTTTTGAACATGAATTTCCTTTGTTTAAAGAGAGACACAAATAAAAGCTGGTGTACATGTTAAATTAACAGATAAGATGTATTCTTTTTACAAAAAAACTACAGAAGGAAACTCACTCCCTTGATATAAACGTGAAGCATTGCCTGTAAACATGAGGCATGCCATATCACAAACTCAGAATCTTCTTGTGCATATAATGCTTCTGTGATTAGAGTAACTATTCATAAAATTTGAATTATGTCATCCTCAAACAGAGCTTAATGTAACATCAACTCAATTGAAGAAACAGGTTGTAAACATAAAGTCTTACCTAAGACTTCATAATGGGTCAGTGGAAGTACTAAGACTAAAAGTCAGGTATACTTAGACCCTGGTCACTTACCAAGGTGGCTTTCTTCATTTCATTTACATCAGTTAATACATTTATTTGTTTATCTATCTGTTTGTTAATTTCCCATACATCAGTTAATGTATGATGTATATACTTGTTTTCATAGCTACATAACAAAAGTGAATTGTTTTGTCTAATAATTATCTATCTCTAAAGATTGGTTGACCAATATATTTGAGAAGAAATTAAGAATAGTTAGAAATGTATTTTCCCTTATTTATAACTAGGTATATTTGTATTTTCAAGTCAGAACACTTCAAATGGATAATCAGAGGTTAATTACATCATGTTACATTCAGTAAATGTAACAGTTGATTAAACAGCAACATTTGATATTATGTTTTTTAATCTGGCAGAAATGCCTCATCTGAACAAAATATTTTCTAGTTCCATTTTCAAAGGATTCACTGGGCCAAAACATCAATTCAATTAAAAGTTCTTTAAATTTAAATTACTTTAATTTTATAACGTAAGCACTATTTTTGAATTTTCACAGTTGCTAAAAAAAATGTAAAAGGCAAATCATCCTCTTCTAAATATCAAATCTTTCACCATTGACTGCAGCCCCTTACCTAATACTAACAACTTCCAAGGAGTTTGCTCTGCATGTAGATTTTGATTACTCATGAGAGAGCACAGGAGCTGCAAAACTGAAATTTGTAAAATTGACTTGGATAGTGATGAAATATAGAATGTATTGGTATATATGAATAAGAGTATATTTGTGCTTGTGGAATAACTGACTCAGGAAAACTAGAAAATTGCCATTTTTCCTATTCATCCACTCATCCTAACACTTCATTCCACACTAGCAACAATCTTACCAGATTTTTTTTTAATGGTACCAGTTATGTCATTGGGAAATTTGAGACTGGGGTCTACTTATTTTTGATACCAAAATGCAAGTATATTTATATAAGCAGTGCTTATATAAATATACTGCTTTGCTTACCCAAAGCAGTATGCTTGCTATCTGAAAACCTGAATTGGAGTATCCTGGCTTTATCGCTTATTAGCTGACATTAGCAAGTAACTTAGGGTCCATTAGCCTCAGTTATTTTATTTATCATCATAGTGGATATAAGAAAATTTAACTTACAAAATTGCTCAAAGGTTAAAAGGGTCTTTTTAACATATTCTACAAATGGATATATATTTGCCTTGTGTTTGTTTGTGTACCCCTACAAAGCACTGAAGTAGCATTTTAGATATTAAACGTAAATAAAGCCAAATATAACATGGTTCTTTATTTTTAAAAATGACAACTTTTTCAATTGAACAATTTACCAATGAAATTATTTTCTAAAGACTTTACTGTATGTTATAGTTACCTAAATCCAGGTATGCAGTTACCTAAATCAATATATTAATGATTATTAAACAATAAATATTTACGAAATGTAAATCTTTCTATTTGATTAATGTCAGACATCTAGTTTTACATGGTAGAATGATTATCATTTGATATCTGGCCCATTCAAAGTTAAATGGTTAAAAGATGGTGCTTTTAAAATCTCTTACTTAATCAGAGTGTCTGATATATAAATGCTAAAAAATTGATGAATGACTCCTTTATTGATTTAGAATTCCAAGAGTACTATGAATTAGATTATTCTTTGGGCTTTCAACACAGAATAACAGATTTTACCATATTAAGACTTTATCCACCACCTACTCCCCAAATCGACTTGATTTGAAGCATCCTATATGTTGGAATATCTAATTTATTTTTATAAGCATTTCTTTATAAGCACAGAGGATTTAAAAAAGGAGGATATTTTCTTTTTTTAATATTTTTTTCTCATAGGAGATCTTAAGTTGTGAAGCGCATGAAATAATTTAGAATATCATCTCAGACATCCTTACTTTTAGTCATCTCATTTGCAAGTGTTAAATCTACTTTAAGGCCTGAATTGCCAAGGATCACATAAATTGGGTAGCTGCCAAATTTCCATTTCAGTTTATGCTGTGTAGACAGAATATGTATCCATATGACCTTCATGAATCAGCTATTCAGCTGTCTCACAAGCTATTTCAGCTATTGCCTATTGCCAAGTAGGTAAGAAGAGATATTCATTAGCATGAAATTTAGAGTATTTGGTTACTACACTGGTTAAATCTTTTTCTAATTTTTTCCCTCTCCCATATATAAAATGAAACAGATGTTTACTTCCTGAAATTTGGAAACATTTGTAACTTTTAAAGTGGTTTACAGTTATGAATTTAAGAAAATTCTTATCACTTCGTTCTAAACTTAAGAATACTCTTAATTGTACACAACTGTATTTCTAATAAGCTTCAGACCAAACTATAAGAATTATTCACATTGAAATCATAGAAATTATCACTCTGAAAAAAAGTCTTCAAATGAAGAACTGAGTTTGCCAACTGTTGATATCACTAACTCAGCTTGCCTTCCTGAAATTAACATGTAATATATGTTACTATCACATACCTTCTAAGCTATTGTAAAGAGGTTATAAAATATTTTTATTAATCAAACATATATTGAACATTTAGAAATATTAGTTTAACATACAGCCTTTTAAATATTATTGTTCAATGGAATGGAAAATATTAAACAAAGTAGTTTTTAAATGCACTTTGTAAAATAAACATTGAAGTCATATTTGAAAAGAATGCATTGCAAGTATTTAACTTATACAATGTTTATGTGAAACTATATTTATTTTAATCTTAAACTACCTGTTTTATTTTTAACCTTTTTTAGAAAGAGCTATTCCTCCCCATCCCTCAACTTCATAAAAAATGAAAAATAAGAGTATTCATATTTCTGTCATTTTCTTGTTGAAAAACTATCTTTCAGATTTTAACCAGATTTCACTTTCTGATAGAAAGAATTAATATATTACAATACTATCTACTTAATTTGTAATAATTATTCAATGTCATAAAATGAGAACTATTGACCTACCAATGTGACCTAGCTACACATTCAGGTTCATTGAGAGCGTTTCATTTTTATTGTATTTGTCATATAGTTTTAAAGATTACATTAAACCTTGAGGTGCTACTTGTTAATATAATTAAAATAACTATTATATTTAGATTGTACATGAAATTACTAGGCTTATTCAGTCTCTTACTGGGTTCATATAAAATTAATTTTAATGTACTTTGACAGTTGTAAAAAGATTTAATATGATTAAATATTGTCTAAGTTTTGATCTTGCCACCAGATGGCAGGAAAAATCAGAGTCAAATAGTTTTTGTTGAACAATATGAATGAGGGTTTTTGTTTTTGTTTTCATTTTGGGTGTTTTTCTATCAATATTTTGTACATAGCCCAAGACATCATTTGTATTACATGAATATACAATATTTCACTGAAAATTATTTGTATTTTTCACTGTAATTGTACTATACCATTTACCACATTCATGCTATTGTTGTCATGAATTTTAAAATGATATTTAAAGTTACTGTTTTAGTAACATTCAAATTACTATAATAATTGGTACTGTGAATGCTCAGACTTGCCAGTGTCAAATAACTGGTTACTCAGCTCCTCTATACACAGGTGGAAAGAAAGTGCATGGAAAAAGTAACTAAGCTGTTACCTTAATGTTAGTAACTCTTTGGACAAGGCCAAGAAATGACTTATCTGTGTCTGATGTATGTCTTACTGTTTCACAGAATAAACACATTAAAGTCTTAGTATTACACAGCTTGACATCTTCCATAGGTAATTTAAAAAAAGCCATTACAAAATAAGAATAAAAAATGGCAAAAGAGAGAAAATATTCCCCAAATTGCAGCAAGACTCCACAGCTCTTTTACATTTTTACATTTTAAAGAAAAGAGTTCAGATGCCTTAACACTTTGAATATATGCAAGCTAGAGAATTGAGGCGAATATTTTAACAAATTACATCTCCATGTACTGTAAATAATTGCAGCACAGTAGCACATGTATTGTGGATACATTTTTATTGCTCTGTTAAGAATAATTTATAAGTCCACCTACTTCATTTTTTGATGCAGTAGTTTTCTTTATCTTGCAATAATATATCACTGTAGTATCAATAAGTTTAGGTATTACTTTCTTTTCTAGAAAAAAAAGTGTAACTAGAATTAAATCATCTAATCAAGTCAGTTTTTATTTATTGAAGTGATATTTGAACAACAGCTGTCCTCTGCAAATTAGCAAACAATTTTACACAAGTTTTTTTTGCAAAGAAAGGCAGACAGCTATTCTTAATAAGTTACAGAGTACTTATTACTGAGATAATGTACACGATAGAATATTTAATACAGACAATGTAGACTTTAAGTAGAGACAGGGAATGTGTCTCTCTGGTGACTCCATTATACACCATTTCTTGACTTTACTCAGAAGAAAGTAGCATTTCACTGTGTGAATCAGGATGCATTGTCTCTATCACTCAATAGAAACAAAGTCTCGGCCGGGCGCGGTGGCTCACGCCTGTAATCCCAGCACTTTGGGAGGACGAGGTGGGCGGATCACGAGGTCAGGAGATCGAGACCATCCTGGCTAACACGGTGAAACCCCGTCTCTACTAAAAATACAAAAAATTAGCCGGGCGAGGTGGCGGGCGCCTGTAGTCCCAGCTACTCGGGAGGCTGAGGCAGGAGAATGGCGTGAACCCCAGGGGGCGGAGCCTGCAGTGAGCCGAGATTGCGCCACTGCACTCCAGCCTGGGCGACAGCGAGACTCCGTCTCAAAAAAAAAAAAAAAAGAAACAAAGTCTCATGAACCATAATACTCCCTGAAATTAGATTCATCTCTCTTTCCACGTTTGTCACTGTTGAATTTGCTTAGCAGTAGGTATTCGATATGTATAAGGATACGACTATTTTTTTTCCTCCAGATTCCTTTGCGTTTGATAAAGTTGAGACAAAACACTGGAAGGTTTTGGATTAGGTTAACCTAGAAAATTTTAAAGCTATTACTAGTAAAAATGACCTGCTACAAATCTGTAGGATGTTACCATGCAAACTTCCAATGTTAAAAAGAAGGGGAAAGACTCTGACAGTGTATAAAGATTTACTTCCCCCCCAAAAAAGGCCCTTGTTTGCTTTCACAAATGGTCACACAGAGTAACAAGTGACCCAGTGCATCAAGTTCAGACAAGTTGCAAAACAAAAAGAAAAATGACACCTCTGGTCAATGACAGATGAACTTTGCATCCATCATAGGCTTGCTAGAAGGAAAACAGCTAGGTGAATTGTTGTTGCCGTGTGCAGTCTTTCATCAGCAACACCCTATGGAGGTGTGCCTGTGGCAAAATACATAGTTGTCCTGTGAGTGTCTAACTACATATTCTGGCTTTTAAACTCTTTTAAAACTATTTTTTATACATAGTAACATAACAGTATTAAAATTTCATGCTGAGAGCCGATAAAAAAGGAACATGTAGGTTTGGAAAAGAAGCATACCATATTTGTATTATCGATCATGCCACCATATATTATCTTGGTGAATGTTTCTGGGAATAACAAAATTCTCTCAAATGGCCATATCATACTCACAAAGTGTATGATACCTATCTGTTTTGCTGGCCATGTCAACTCTCAAACAATAGGATTCATTCTCCACTAAGGTGCCCATGGCCTTGCTGTTGTTCATAAAGGAAGCCTTATGGCACGTCACTCATCCAAAATAACATCTAAGTAGGTTCATATTTAAATTCAATTACTTTAGTACTGGCTATTTTTAAAAAATATATTGCCTTAAAATAATAACTTTTGAGTATATTTATTAAGTGATAATTCTGTTTTGCCAAACACTGAACTTTGAAGCCTTAAAAAGTAATAGGACAAATGTGTGATCCTTCTTTGAATGTTTTTATTCTGGCTGTTGTCAGGTGTGTAAAAAAATGGATGTTAAAGCTATATTTAAATAAGTAACAAGCAAAGAGAGGAATATAATTTTAAAAAATATATTTGAAAAACAAACAATTAAATATTTGCTACTAAATTCACTTATAGATTAAGAGTAGGAGAAGAAAGATTGCAAATTTAACCCATGTAATTGTTCCTTTATTTGTGGAAAATATAATGATACTAACAAAGGTTATGTAGACTACAGAGTTAAAAACAAAAATACTGGATTCCAACTTCATCAAACTAACTTAGAAGAGGGGAATTTAGAGGGATAACATACCTTTAAAAATGGGAACTATGTTCCTATTTGCAATGAAGTGTCCAATGAAACATGAACTCAACATAAAACTGAGTCACTGATGATTTTCCAACAGAAGTTTTGTCAAGGCGTATTTTCTGTGATAAATTTGCTGTAACTTTTCAAACCGTGTCAATTTGTAAAGTAGTTCTGGATTTCAAAGTTTGTAGAGGCTTTATAAACAAGAGAGCTTAGTTCCTTCTCCACTGAATATTCATGCTTCTATGAGGCAAATTTCTATCTATTGTCATACTCTATAAAAGTCATCACTATCATAGGTAAGAGTAATCAAAATCTCAGGTTAACCATTTAGTTTTGCTTTTCAACAATATTTTAGGGCTATAAACATCTTTAATCAATTTAGGAGTTATTTGTGATAGCTGGGCAAAATTTGTTCCAGAATGATTCAAAACTGACAACAGAGACTTTTCCCTATGACCTTGAATACTGGTGGAAGTGACTTTAAATATGACCCAAGGGGGAAGGAAAAAAGTATGTATATAGGGTTAGAAGAAATGTTATGTGTACACATTTTTTTTCTTAAGAGTTGGTGCTGAGAAAACTGGATATCCACATGAAAAATAATGAAATAGAACCTATCTTATATCACACACAAAACTCAACTCAGAATGGACTAAAAACTTAAATCTAAGAAAATGAAATTTTAAAACTCCTAGAGGAAAACATAAGGGAAAGTTTTATGACATGGGTATGGGCAGTGATTTCTTGGCTATGACACTGAAAGCACAGGCAACAAAAGCAAACACAAACTTGGAATTACATCAAATTAAAAAGCTTCTACAAAGCAAAGCAAACAATTAACAGAGTGAAAAGGCAACCTAAAGAAAAGGAGAAAATACTTGGCAGACTATATATTTGCTAAGGGGTTAATATGAAAACATAGAAGGAACTCTAACAACTCAGTAGCAGTAAACAAATAATCTAATTTAAGAAACTGACAGAGGAATTCAATAGATATTCCTACAAAGAGGACAAATAAATAGTCCAGTTTATGAAAAGATGTTCAACATCACGAATTAGGGAAATGCAAATCAAAAGCATAATGAGATATTTTACACCTGTTAGGATGTTGTAAATTTTTTAGGTCTAGTACAATGAGACAGAACCCTCCCACAATTCAGACAAAGTAAATTTACTACTTACAAATAGGCAGCAAGAATAAATGAATTCTATAATCAATGGCAAGCTAGTACTCCACAGTTTAGGAAAGCTTTCCAGAATGGATGGAGTCTTGTCTACATGTGCCATACATTGCATCACAGATGAGTGTTCCTCAAAGCACTAAGCTCTGCATTTTATAGCCTGAACACATTCATGTCACTGAGGTCAAGAGTTGCAGAAGGTCCTGTTCTGGGAGGAATAAGGACACAGCCCAGGTTTTTCCAGAAAGTTCCTCTTCATCTCAGAATGTGGCATTCTTGGTATATTCTGCCCAAGAATTGCACGCAAGAGTGGAAGAGCTTGGTCATCCAAGACCATCTGGGGCCCTATACTCCTGCAGATGTCTGTTATCAAAAGAGAGAGAGAGAGAAAGAGAGAAGTGTTGGAGAGAATGTAGAGAAATTGGACCCTTGTACTCTGTTAGTGGGAATGTGAAAGGTGCTGCTATGGAATTATGGAGGTTTCCCAAAAAAATTAAATATAAAACTACCTTATGACCCTGCAATCCAACTTTTGGATATTTATCCAAAAGAATTGAAGTCAGAATCTGGAAGAGATATTTGCACTTCCATGTTCATTGCAACATTATTCACAATAGACAAGATGTGGAAACAACCCAAACGTATGTGGATGGATGAATGGATAAAGGAAATGTTGTAATAGATGCAATGAAATATTAATTAGCTTTTAAAAACAAGGAAATCCTGCCATTTCAACAACGTGGATGGACTTTGAGGATATTATGCTAAGTGAAATAATTCAGCCACAAAATGACAAATATTGCATGGTTCCACTTAACATGAGATGTCTAAAATAGTCAAACTCACAGAAGCAGACAGTGGAATGACGATTGCCAGAGGACATGGTGAGGGGGAAATGGGGAGTTGCTATTTAATGAAAAAGTTTCTACAGGGTATATTTGAGTATATTTATTAATATACTCAACGTATATTTGAGTATATTATTGTCTCCCTCATTGTGTGAGGCAATTTACTGGTATAGCCATCTAGGCTGGGAGTTTTCTGTGTGGGAAGGATTTTATAATAAATTCAATTACTTTAATTGAATAACAATGTTCACTATATCCTCTTATTAATCTTTTTATATGTGTATGATCTGTAGTGGTGTCTCTTTCAGTCCTGTTGTTTGCAGTTTGTGTTTTCTCTTTGTTTTTTTCTTCTTGGTTAGTCTAATTAGAGGTTTAACAATTTGTTGATTGTTCTCTATGTTTGTCAGTTTTCATTTTATTGATTTGTACTTAGTTTGTGGGTAATTTTCTCTTCTTTTTTATAGCTTCCTAAAGATGGCTGCTTGGATAAGTGATTTCATACTTTTTCTTTACATCTATACGTTTCATTCAAAGTCCTGCTTTAGCTATAATTCACAAATAAATGTTGTGACACTTTTGATCTATGTTTTCTCTAAGTATTTTATAGTTTTAGGTCTTACCTTTAGACCATGAATCCATTTTAAAGTAATTTTTGTATATGGTGTTAGGTAAAGGTCCAAGTTTATTCTTTTGCATATGCAGTTTTCCTGGCACCATCTGTTGAAAATACTGTCTTTTCTCCCTTGAATGGTCTTGGCAATTTTGTTGAAATACTTTTGGCCATATATGTGAGAGTATATTTCATGAGTATTTATTTTATTCTATTTGTTTATATATATTTACACCAGAACCGGATTGTTGTGGTTATTGTAGTTTTGTACTACATTTTGTAATCAGAAAGTGTGATGCCCCCAGATTTGCCATTCTTCTTCAAGATTGTTTTGGGTATTGGAGCTTTTTTGTGCTTTCATGCACATGTTAGATTTTTTTTTTTTCTATGGAAATGGAATTTTCAAACAAATTGCACGGAATTTGTAAATCACTTTGTGTAGTACTGACATATTAACGTTATTAAGTCTTCCAATCATGAAAATTAAATTTTTCCATTTCTTTACTTTTTTTAATGTTCATTGTAGAAATGTTTTGTAGTTTTTCTTGTATAATTCTTTGACTTTCTTGTTAAATTAATTCCTAAGATTTTAATTTTGTTTTTGTTTTTGATGCTATTGTACATGAAATTGCTTTCTTCATCTCCTTTTCTATACACTAACAGATTAGTCACTGTTAGTGTATAGAAATACAAGTAATTTTTAAAGTGTTGTCTTTGTATCCTGCTACTTTAATGAATTCATTTATTAGTTCTAATAATTTTTTGTGAAATTTTTAGCATTTCCTATATATATCAGCTGCAAACAGAGATGATTTTAACAACTTCTTTTTCAACTTGGATTTTATTTCTTTCTTTTTGCCCAATTGCTCTTACTACAACTTCTAATACTGTGTGAAACAGAAGTAGTTTCACGGGATAATTGGGGTGTCACTTCGCCAGCCAGAAACCTCTGTGGCTGGTGGCGTCTTTGCCTGAGTTTTGCTCATGCCTGCTGGGCTCCTTCCTCCAACTCGACCTGGCAGGCTGTGCACGGCTCACAGTACTGGCCCAGAACCCACACCTGCCAAGGGTGAGCCAGGCAGGGAGCGACGAAGGGTGTATGGCCAAGTGAATGCGGGGTCTGGCACACCACAGCCAGGCACACCGGGCACACCAGCTGCTGCAGCAGGGTGGGCAAATCCAGGTGCCAGCTCTGTGTGAGGCTGTGTAGCTGGACCAGATGCACCACATGCAGATTCTGCTGTGGGCAACTGTGTCTGAGCTAGCGGAATGCGGTGGCACCTGGAAACTTGGAGATGGCAGGAACTGCAGAGCCCCAAAAAGGGTAACCCTAGGTCTGGGCTTCCTGAAGGCCTGCAGCACTTCTCTCCTCATAGCCCGCAACGTGGCAAGCAGGCGTTGGGGGAGCCGTTTCAAACCTGTTTGTGTTACAGCTCTTTCAATCCCATGTCCAGGAAGAATGAGGTATGCGGACAACTGGAGGGTGAGCAAGGTGGAGAGAAGCTTTATTGAGCGACAGAACAGCTCTTAGGAGACCCGAAGTGGGTAGCTCCTTTCCACAGGCAGGTCATTCCAATGAGTCCAGGAAACCCCGAAGTGGGTATCTCCTAACTGAAGCTGGTAGTTCTGACGTCTGTTTGAGTCTAGCTGAGTTCGGGGAGTTTTATGGGCTCAGAAGGGAGGAGGTGTGTGTTGATTGGTCCATGGGCGGCCATGGGCAAGGCCAGGAAAAAGCACAAGTTCTCACTCTGTGTGGGGGACTCCACCAGGAACTGACAGCCTGGCCCCAAGACTTCAGGCCATCCCTGGCTTGAAGGTGGGGCTTCACCAGGACCGTCTCTCCGCCCAGGAGCCTATCTGCCTCCTGTTACCAATCAATCATGTTGTCCACAGAGCCTGGGCTATTTGTCCCAAAGGGTGCCTGCAGGCCCATGCCAAGCTGCCCTCAGCCTCCCATTGGTCGCGCCTCCCATACTCGTCAGCACTCAAAGACCAGAGGGCATCGAAGCGGCAGGGGGCTGGCATGTCAGCACCACCCCACATGTGTGCACACCTGGCCAGGTCGTGATGGCGCCTGGGCTCGCTTCAACTTTGCTTTGAAATCAGAGCAGGCACGGGGAGCCGAGCGAGGCCATGTAGTGGGAGCAAGCACTTCCAAGCCTGCAGGAGCAGGGGTTTTCCCAGGCCTTGAGAGTGCGGGGATGCCTGGGTCCCCAGCTGTGGCTGGGCAGCTGCAGCTGCAGCCAAGAGTGCGGGGCTCCTGCCCCACCCACTTAAAAGCAGGTGGGGCTCCCACCTGTTCCTGACCTCCGCCAGCTCCACGGAGCACATAAGCCTGGCTGTGCCTCCCCCACTGCAACTGGCATCCTTGCAGCAGCTGCTCCACATGGGCCACCACTACCATCAGTGGTGCAAGCAGATATCTTAGCCTTATTCTGATATTAGGAGAAAAGCTTTCAGTCTTTCACCAACTATGATATTCCTTGAGTGCTTTCATATATGGCCTCTATGTTGAGGTAATTTCCTCATATTCTTAGTTTGCTGAGTGTTTTTATCATGAAGTAATGTTAAATTTTGTCAAATGCTTTTTGTACATCTTAAGATGACTTTTTATTCCTTTACTCTGTCTACGTGTATTACAAGATTATTTTTTCTTATGTTGAACCATTTTTTTATTCCAAGAATAAATTCCTCTTAGTTGTGGTGTATAATCCTTTTAATATATTGCTGAATTCAGTTTGCTAGTATTTTGTTGAGAATGTTTGCATCAGTATTCATCAGGGACATTAGTTTTTAGTTTTCTTGTAGTGTCTTTGGCTGGCTTTGGTATCAAGATAACACTGGCCTCATAGAATGTTATTTAATTTTTTGGAAAATTTGAGAAAGATTTGTGTTCTTTAAATATTTGGTAGAATTCATTGGTGAAGATATCAGAGCTGATGCTTTTCTTTATCAAGAGATGTTTGAATACTGATTTAATCTCCATATTAGTTATTGTTGTATTCAAATTTCTATTTCTTCAAGATTTAGTCTTGTTAGATATTTGTTTCTAGGAGTATGTCCAATTCATCTAAGTTACTCAATTTATCAGCATGCAGTTGCTTATAGTGACCTCTTCTCATCAATTTTATTTCTATAGAATTAGTAATAATATTCCCACACTCCTTTCTGATTTTAGTAATTTGAGTCTTCTCTCATTTTTTCCTAGTACATATAGTTAAAGGTGTGTCCATTTTGTTGATATTTTAAGAGGGTAAACTTTTGGTTTTATTGCTTTTCTTCATTCTTTTTTTTTATCTTTTCTATTTTGTTTTCCTCTTCTCTAATCTTTATTATTTTCTTCCTTTTGCTGTATTTTTTCCTAGATCTACAAGTTGTGAATTTAGGTGTTGCTTTGAGATCTTTCTTGATTTTTATGGTAAGCATTTATAACTATAAATTTCCTCTTTAGCACTATTATCACTATGCACCATGAGTTTCAGCTTATAGTATTTTTGGTTTAATCTCTAAGTATTTTCCAGTTTCCTTTGTGATTTCTTCTTTGATCCATTGGTTGTTTAAGGGTGTATTATTTAATTTCCATAAGTTTGTGAATTTTCAAGTTTTCCTTTCATTATTGATTTCTTTCTTTTCTCTTCTTTTCTTTTCTTTTCTTTTTTTTTTTTTTTTTTTTTTTTTTTGAGATGGAGTCTCACTCTGTCGCCCAGGCTGGAGTACAGTGGCATGCTCTCGGTTCACTAGAAGCTCTGCCTCCTGGGTTCATGCCATTCTTCTGCCTCAACCTCCCCAGTAGCTGGGACTACAGGTGCACACCACCACGCCCAGCTAATTTTTGTTGTATTTTTTAGTAGAGACAGGGTTTCACCATGTTAGCCAGGATGGCCTTGATCTCCTGAACTCGTGATCCGCCCGCCTCAGCCTCCCAAAATGCTGGTATTACAGGAGTGAGCCACCACACCCGGCCTCATTATTGATTTCTAATACCATCCCAGTGTGGTCAGAGAAGATATATGTGACTTCAGAATGTTCATGGAAAATGCATATTATTTAGAAACTAAATGTGGATTTCAAAATTTATTTGCATCAGAAAAAAATTATATTAATTTGTTATGTCAAAACAGGATCTAGTTTGAGGCACTCAGAAGAAGATATCAGTTTTAAAAGAGCCTCTATCAGAGCAACATGAATCCTCCTAAAATTGAAGCAAGAGCAAACATCTAATTTATGGAGAAGCTTGGGTGAAGAAAGATGAAATCACTGATGTTTTATGAAAAGTTTATGAACAATGCCCCAGGAAATGAGCAGTTTACAAATAAGAAAATCACTGTACTCACACCTGTAATCCCAGCACTTTGGGAGGCTGTGGCAGGCGGATCACGAGGTCAGGAGATCAAGACCATCCTGGCTAACACGGTGAACCCCGTCTCTACTAAAAATACAAAAAATTAGCCAGGTGTGGTAGCGGGCACCTGTAGTCCCAGCTACTCGGGAGGCTGAGGCAGGAGAATGGCGTGAAGCCGGGAGGGGGAGCTTGCAGTGAGCCGAGATCGCGTCACTGTACTCCAGACTGGGAGACAGAGCCAGACTCCGTCTCAAAAAAAAAAAAAAAGAAAAAAAGAAAAGAAAATCACTGTAAGCATGTACAAGACTATGTTGAAGATGAAGCCCACAGCAATGGCTCATCTAATTTAATTTGTAAAGAAAAAAATTAATTTGTTTGTGCTCTAATTGAAGAAAATGATTAACAGTAGAAATATGACCAATACCAAAGACTTCTCACTTGTTTTTGACTGAAAAATTAAAGTTGAGCACTTTTCACTCAATGGGTGACACATTTTTTTGCACCTAGATAAACTGCAGAGACAAGAAGAGCTTTTAATAAAAAATTTGAACAAGTGGGATTAAGATCCTGTATGATTTCTTCAAAGAATTTTAACAGAAAATAAAACGTATCTTTACCAGTATGATTCTGAAGAAAAGCACAATCAGGCCGGGTGTGGTGGCTCACACCTGTAATTCTAGCAATTTTGGAGGCCAAGCTGGGCAGATCACTTAAGGTCAGGAGTTTGAGACCAGCCTGGCCAACATGGTGAAACCCCATTTCTACTAAAATACAAAAATTAGCTAGGTATGGTGGCAGGTGCCTGTAATTCCAGCTACTCAGGAGTCTGAGGCAGGAGAATCGCTTGAACCCAGGAGGTGGAGGTTGAAGGGAGCCAAGATCACACCACTGCATTCCAGCTTGGGCAACAGAGTGAGACTCTGTCTCAAAAAAAAAAAAAAAAAAAAAAAAGGACAAAGCACAATCAAAATGGCTACCAAGAGGTGGGTCCAGTCAAAGCAAAAGTAGACTGGTCTAGAGCAAAGATCATGGTAAGAATTTTTTGCAATGCTCAAGGAATTTTGCTTGTTGACTTTCTGGAAGGCCAGAGAACATCTGTAACACCTGCTGATTATGAGAGTG
The DNA here is from genome assembly GCF_000001405.40 of Homo sapiens. Classification (NCBI taxonomy): domain Eukaryota; kingdom Metazoa; phylum Chordata; class Mammalia; order Primates; family Hominidae; genus Homo; species Homo sapiens. The sequence goes on along the minus strand of NC_000007.14, from coordinate 84,443,709 downwards.
TTTTGAGAAAGTTAGCCAAAGTTTTTAGCAGGAAAACAACCATGAAAGCTTCACCTGAGAGTCTTTCTTCACTATGACAATGTTCCTGCTAATTCCTCTTAACAAAGAAGAGCAATTTCGTGAGAGTTTCAAGGGGAAATCATGAGTCATTCACCTTACAGTCTTGATTTGCTCCTTCTGACACTTTTTGTTTCCTACTCTCAAAAACTCTGTAAAGGGCATTGATCTTTTTTCCATTAATAAAGTAAAAAAAATGTCAATTTAACCATTGACATGGTTAGATTCACAGCACCTTCAGTTCTTTAGGAATGGACAAAATGGCTAATATTTACATTAAAAAGTGTCTTGACCTTGATGGAATTTATTTGAGAAATAAAGTGTATATTTTTAATTCTTATCTTTTAATTCCATGTTATGAAATTTTTGAAGTTCCCTTGTACTTTGTGTGATCTATCTTTTAAAATATTCTGAGGTGTAATTTGTTGCCTAATGTATGATATATCCTGAAATTATTCCATGTGCACTTAAGAAGAATGTATATGCTGCTATTGTTGGATAGTGTTGAATAGCGTGTTCTACATAAGTCTGTTAGATCTAATTCATTTGTTGTGTTGTTTAAATCCTCTATTCGCATACTTCTGTCTGATTGCTCTATTCATTATTGGTAGGGGTGTATTGAAGTCTTCAACAATTATCATATAATTGTCTATTTTTCCCTTCAATTTTTTCAATTTTTGCTTCATATATTTTGATGGCCTCCTATTGGTTGTATACATGTTTATAATTGTTATAGCTTTATGTTTTATTGAAACTTTCATCAACATAATATTCTTCATTATGTCTTGTGAGCTTTTTGTCTTAGTCCATTTTGTCTGATATTATTAAATCCAACTACTGCTGACTTTTTATTAGTATTTTCAAGGAATATCCTTTTATAATCTTTCTCTTCGACCCATTTTAATCTTTGGATCCAAAATGAGTCTCTTATAGACAATATATAGTTGGCTTATGTTCATTTGCTTGTTTAATCCATTCTGCTATCTTTTTAATTTTGACTGGAGTGTTTAGTCCACTTAAATTTAAGGTAATTACCGGTAAGGAAAGATTTCTGCTATTTTACTATTTGTTTTTTATATGACATACCTTTCTTTGTTCTCACTTCCTACATTTTCTTTGGTGTTTAGTTGATTTTTTTTGTAGTAGAAGTTTCAGATTTTTTTCCTCATTGCTTATTGTGTTTATTCTTTAGCTAACTTCTGTATTGTTATAATGGGAATCATCTTTAATCTTATAAAATTATAGCACTTCAATTTGAATTTACACCAGCATAACTTCAATAAAATACAAACTCTCTGCTTATTTAAGAGGCTTCTCCCCATCCCATTTAGTTTTGGATGTTAAAAATTAACATCTTTATACATTGTGTGTTCAAAACTGAAACTAATAATTTTATAATATACTAGTCTCAGGTAGAAAACAAAATTTGGATTTACAAACCAAAGTTACAATGACATTAGTTTTAGGCAAATACATAATTTTGTAATTTATTACTCTTCTACAACTTGTCAAAAACTAAAAGTGGAGTTACACACCATCACTACAATACTATATTTTATAATTGCCCATGTATTTATCTTTACTGAGATCTCTCTTTCTTCATATGTCTTTGAGTTACTATCTAGTGTTCTTTCATTTCAACCTGTAAGTCTCTTCAGCATTTCTTGCAGAGCACGTCTGTTGGTAGCAAACTCCATCAACTTTTGTTTATCTGGGAATGTTTTAATTTCTCCCTGAGATTTGTTTTGTTTTGTTTGTTTTTTGCATTTTGAATTTAGCCCATTGCCTCTGGTGTCCAAAGCTTTTAAAAAGAAATTTGCTGATGATCTAACTGAGGATGTCTTGTGTAGGACCAGTCACATCTATTTTACTTATTTTAAAATTCTCTCTTTTATTTGGTTTTCAACAGTTTAACTATAATATATCTCCATGTGTGTCTCTTTAAATTCATCACATTTGAAGTTCATTGACGTTTCTTTAATGTGTATATTCTTCTTTCACTAAATTTGGGAAGTTTTTGCCATCTTTTCTTGAAACATTTTCTATGATGCTTTCTTTCTCTTTTCTTTTCTGTATGTTGGTCTGCCTGATGGTGTTCTATAGGTCTCTAAGGCATTGTTCAGTTTTTAATTTTTTTTTCTGTCAGCACCTTATACCAAAAAATTTCTGATGTCTTATTCTCATGTTCACTAATTCTTTATTTTGCCTGCTAAAATCACACTTTTAATCTCTCTAGTATTTTTTTTCATTTCTGTTATTATATTTTGAAGCTCCAGAATTTCTTTTTGGTTTTGTTTTACAGTTTCTATCTCTTTATTGATGTTTCCATTTTGCTCATACATCATTTCTTGACTTTCCTAATATCTTCTTTTAGTTTTTTGAGCATACTTAAGATAGATCTGTTGTAAAGTGTCTAGTAGGTCTGTTATAAGATCTTTTCAGGGTCAGTTTCTGTTTTTTTTATTTTTATTTTTATTTTATTTTATTTTTTATTGAGATGGAGTTTTGCTCTTGTTGCTCAGGCTGGAGTGCAATAGTGCAATCTCGGCTCACCACAACCTCCACCTCCCGGGTTCAAGTGATTCTCCTGCCTCAGCCTCTCCAGTAGCTGGGATTACAGGCATGCGCCCCGACGCCCGGATAATTTTGTATTTTTAGTAGAGATGGTGTTTCTCCATGTTGGTCAGGCTGGTCTCGAACTCCCGACCTCAGGTGATCTGCCCACCTCGGCCTCCCAAAGTGCTGAGATTACAGGCGTGAGCCACCACACCTGGCCTATTTATTTTTAAGTCGGCCATACTTTCCTGTTTCTTTGTGTGCGTTGTGAATTTTTGTTGAAAACTGGACATTTGAATCTAATAACATAACTAGAAAAGAGATTCCCTGCCTTTCCAGGATTTGCTGCCCTTTTTTGTTGTTTGTTTCTTTCTTTGATTGTTGTAAGCTGTCTCTGTGCTGAGGACCAAACTGAGGTATAAACTTATGGTCTTCTCAAGACTTCTCTGCTGGTGCCTTCCCATGGGCATGCATGGTGGCATTCCATTATCCCATGAATATGCAGTTGCTTTTTGATGTTCTAGTCTTCAATGTCTGGTGCTCAAAACAAAAAGAAAAAAAGAAAGGCGGAGGATTCATTGGCCCTTTAAGTCCCATAAAAGTCACTTCAGCCAGAGCTCACAACAATGTCTGTACCTCTATGATCAGAAGAAACAATCAGAGATCAGAGCACAAATTATGACATTTGGAAAGCAAGACCCATTTTACCTACCCTGGCTTCCACAAGCTGTGTTCAAGCTGCACCAGGAACATGTGGACAGCTGCTTGATATGGTGCTGAGGGGTGGAAGATTGGTAGCTACTTTTGTGCTAAAAGCTGAAAATAATCAAAATTAATCACAGTTTCCCATCCAAGTCTTCCCCTGAAAGATGTAAGCCATCAACGGACTCCAGATTTCCAAAAATAGTTACATCTGACAGATTATGCCATTGTAATTGTTGTCTAGGTAAGGAGACAGATTCCTAGTGCTTTACACGCTGCCATTTTCCCAGAATCTTCTGTTGATGTATTGCTTTTTAACAAAGTACCTTCTCACTTACTTGTTTCTTTCCTCTGTTCCAAATGTAATTGTCATGCATATTTGTTTACTTCTATATCACCTTATCAAGTATAGTGCCTAATACATGGTAGGTACTCATAAATATTTGAATATATGAATTAAATCCATCTTCCATATCCTGGGTTTATTAAATTTTTAACCTGATTTTATTCATCTTTAAATTTTCATCATTTAAAAATACATATATTCTTGGTTTAATAATTCATTATGTATTCCATTTGCCTTGTTTCTATTTTATTATTCTTAGAACATTGATAACATTGTCATAAATTCTCACATGTACTATATATGTACTATCATTTCACCCATTTCTTTTGTGTTTACAGATTTAATTTCTTTTCCACTTTCTAACAGTGAATAATTCCTTAAGCAAGCTTTTTATAGCCTTAATCTAAATCTTCTTAGTGGGTGGCTAACCTTTGACAGTCACTGTTTGAAAAGTCTCATCAGAAACATCTATTTATATGGATTTGTTTTAATATCAGACATAATCCAGAAATTTACATAGCACACATATTTGTTCTGTCAAAATAAAATAATCATAACTGCTGCCTTGCTTATGCTTAATAGAAACACTGTAAATAAAACTAGCATTGCAGTCAGTAATCTAAAATAACACAGTAGTTTTACTTTTTGAAATACAACCAAGATTTAAGGCAGGCAGGAAAGTAAAATTTATCCATGTCGACACATGAAATTTCACTTGTCCTAACCCTTTCATGCTTCCTTGTACATTCTACATCCTGTCATAGAAAATTCTTCCTGGGCTTAAAGTGGGAGGCTATGTGCATATTCTCCCTCTCTAAATTCTTACCTATGTTCTAATAGATACAAATCAGAAAGAAGAAAAGCCATTTGCCAGTCTCTTATTTGTAAGTCCTTAAATCACAACACCCCAAGAAGTACAGGTAGTTAATGTGTATTATTCTAATTCCATACTAGATTTAGCAGAGTAGTCAATGTATGTAGAAGTTGATACTCTTTTAATTTTGCTACTGCTGTATCAACCTGCTCAGGCCCCTCTGACACAACAGTCCATGAAGTAAATGCCCTTTCCTTTAGTTTCTTTTGCACAGTTGAGACACACTGATACTTACAGGTTGTTGCCTTATTACATGTTTAAAAGTAATTAACTGAAATAAAGAAGTAACATTAATTAAATCTGTTATAAGCTGAAATAAGAAAATTAAAAAATATATATTTTATTATAATATGTAGACTATGGGCTTCCAAGGACTGTGAAACCTCAAAATTCAAGTCATTTCCCTTATGATATTATTTGATCTCTCAAACTCTTGGTTGTTTCTATGTGGTGGGTACCATCTTATTACTTACCATACAGAAGTCTTTAACATATCAAGTCCTTGTCCTTACTCAGATCATGGGGAAAATGTTCTTGCTTTTCAAGTTTTATTGTGAAAGGCATGACTTCCCGATGGTTTTCTGGCAATCTTTGATAATTCACATAATGAAGTAGCTCATGCTTCACGTTAACCCCAACATCCTGCCTAGAGAAATGTTATCTAGCTCATTACGGTTCACAGATGAGTGAAATTTAGCTATGTAACTACCATACTTACTGTAGCACACATACTATAATTATTGTATTGGTCTTCTATGGATTCCATTGTAACACATTAGTCTGGTTTCTTGAAGTGGTGGGAAAAGTTAACTGAATTGATGGAGGCTAATACAAAATGTCATAGGGCCATCTTCCTCTGGCTATTTTTATTTTATAATTTATGCCTGCACACATACATAAATACATATAAAATCATTTTTAAAGCACTGTAAACTTCTTGAGTACAGTATTTGTATCCAAGTCATTCTGGTCTTTCTATTTTGTGCCAATAGTAGACAGACAGCAAATACATCATTGTTGACTGCTGAGAGAATAGTATTTAACCTCCTTGTAATTAATAAAGCATACCCCCTAGTCTAAAGTCTTAGGAAATTTTTGAAAATATATAATTCTTGCAAATTTTTCTCTAGCTCTTTTCTGGATAGATTGCTTGGTTCACAAAGACTTTCTTTCATTCTTTATCTTTTTAGCCAGCAAGTTTCATGTTCTGTAAAAATAAAACTTGTTTTAGGTTTTTTAAAAAATCAGCTGAGGCTTGTAGGGGAGTAATTAGTGCCATATCGGCTTGAGGAAACAATAAAACTGACTGCATTATAGTTTATATGAATTGTTTCTGAAAAACAGCATCTATATACTACTGATTATGGCAAATATTTTGGAAGATTTACATATTACAGTTTTCTGATGTTCTATTAAATATTTGCATTCATTCTGTCAATCTGATTACTGCACCTTTCAAGATAATTTCTTATTGGCCTTCCCAGCTTGAAATTTTCTCTGGAATACTCTGTTCTCATGTATCAGGATGGATATCCAGATTTTCAAAATCTTTCCTTAAATGTTTTTCTTTAAAGCAGCTTTTTCCTCTTTTACTTAAAAAAAAAAAAAAGCCAGCATTAGAAAGTCAATGTTATGAAGGCATGAGATTATGTTTTAAATTAAATTTATAATGTTTTTAAATAAAATATGCTCTAATAAAACAAAAAAGGGGAAATGTATTCAATCTTATGAGCTATTAAGACTATCTTAATAACAATATCAATTTAAGTAATTGATGTTCATGTCGGACTATTAACTGGAAATAAACATTCAAGGGAGAGTGGCCAAAGCAGGGAGTGACTTTAAATACTAGCAATAAAACTAATTACTAGCTCACATGACACCAAATTCCACCTTCCATTTCCGTCTACTTCAGTTCATTCCATTATTCCTTTTTTATTGTAACTGATCTCTAGGAACCTTTAGCCATTAAAATATACTTTCCTTTGAATTACCATAGATCATTCATTGTTTAACCCTTTAAGAATCACCTCAACAATCCAGAGCGCTTATTGTAAAAACGCTTGTGATCTTTTATTCAGAAGGATGATACATCAAAAATACATACAGTTGAGAAGCTGTTTTAGGTGGCAGTCCCTGCAATTCTGTTTTGTCTGTGTTCCTGTCATGGAATTGAATCATTGGTATTTAACATAAATGGCAGTTTAAGACTGTTTGAGGAAGGTGAATGAAAACACTTTTCACGAAAAAAGTAATTTTTCATTGTTTTCACATGCACTTAAAATTTAATGTTTACACCTTCAGGAAACATAGGATAAGTAATTTATGAAGGAAACTGTGGCTTAAATCTAGTCTCTATAAATCATAAATGTATTTACTTTTTGCACATTTGCATAAGAGAAGCATTCTACAAGCAATCTATGTTCAGACTTACCACCAAAACATGATCTTATAGATTGTTTTATGAGAAAATAACACAAACACAAATTTACTGTCAGTATCAAAGCAAACATAAATATAATTTTTAAAATCATATTATAACACAAAGAAATCCGAACTTATATCTGAGAAGCCCAAAATAAGTTTAAACATCAATCTTGTAAAGTTTCAGTGTTTTACAAAGAATAAAAGAAAGACTTTGGCCCAGTAAAATGTTATGCATATTGCATTAGCTTAGAAAATACTTTTCCTTATTGAATTGCTTAAGTTCCTTATAGATTGTGGATATTAGATCTTTGTTGGATGAATAGTTTGAAAATATTTTCTTCCATTGTGTAGGTTGTCTGTTTGCACTGTTGATAGTTTATTCTGCTGTGCAGAATCTCTTTAGTTTAATTAGGTACCACTCATCAATTTTTGTTTTGGTTAGAATTACTTTTGAGGACTTAGTCATAAATTCTTTCCCAAGGGCAAAGTCCAGAATGGTGTTTCCTAGGTTTTCTTCTAGGATTCTTATAGTTTAATGTCTTACATTTAAATTTTTAATCCAGGTTGAGTTAATATTTGTATATGGTAAAAAGTAGGGGTCCAGTTTCAATATTCTGCATATAGCTAGCCAGTTATCCCAACACCATTTATTGAATAGGAAGTTCTTTCCCCATTGCTTATTTTTGTTGACTTTTTTGAACATCAGATAGTTTTAGGTGTGCAGTTCTGTTTCTGAGTTCCCTATTTGGTTCCATTAATCTATGTGTCTGTTTTTATACCAGTACCATGCTGTTTCGGATACTGTAGCCTTACAGCACAGTTTAAAGTAGGGTAATGTGATGCCTCCAGCTTTGTTTTGTTTTGTTTTGCTTAGGATTGCTTTGGCTATTCTGGCTCTTTTTTGATTCCATGTGAATTTTACAATAGTGCTTTCTAATTCTGTGAAAAAATGACATTGGTAGTTTGATAGATATAGTGTTGAATCTGTAGATTGCTTTGGGTGGTATGGACATTTCAATGGTATTAATTCTTCCAGTCTATGAGCATGGAATGTTTTCGCATTTGTTTGTGTCATCTATTGTTTCTTTCATCAGTGTTTTGTAGTTCTCCTTGTAGAGGTTTGTTTGTTTGTTTGTTTGTTTTGACAGAATTTCTCTCTGTCGCCAGGCTGGAGGGCATTGGCCCGATCTTGGCTCACTGCAACTTCCGCCTCCCAGGTTCAAGCGAATCTCCTGCCTCAACCACCCGAGTAGCTGGGACTATAGGCACGCACCATTATGCCCAGCTAATTTTTGTATTTTTAGTAGAGACGGGGTTTCACCATGTTGGCCAGGATTGTCTCGATCTCCTGACCTCGTGATCCGCCCATGTTGGCCTCCCAAAGTGCTGGGATTACAGGCATGAGCCACTGCACCCAGCCTCCTCGTAGAGATCTTTCACCTCTTTGGACAGATGTGTTCCCAGGTAGTGTGTGTGTGTGTGTGTGTGTGTGTAGCTGTTGTACATGGGATCACACTCTTTAGCTGTCAGCTTGAATATTATTGGTGTATAAAAATGCTACTGATTTTTGTACGTTAATTTTGTATCCTGAAACTTTACTGAAGTTGTTTATTAGTCACCAGCCTTTTGGCAGAGTGTTTAGGGATTTCTAGGTATACAATGATGTAGTCAGCAAGGAGATATAGTTTGACTACTTGTTTTATTTGGATGCCTTTTATTTATTTGTCTTGCCTGATTGCTCTAGCTAGAACTTTCAGTACTATGTTAAATAGCAGTGGTGGGAGTGAGCATCCTTGTCTTGTTCCACTTCTCAAGGGGAATGTTTCCAGTTTTTGCCTGTTCATGATGTTGGCTATGCATTAATCATAAATGGCTCTTAATATTTTGACATATATTCCTTCAATTCTTAGCTTGTTGAGGGCTTTTATCATGTTGGGATGTTGGATTTTATTGAAGGCTTTTCTGTATTTATTGAGATGATCATATAGCATTTTATCATTAATTATGTTTATGTGATGAATTGCATTCATTTATTTGAGTAATTTGAATCAACCTTACATCCCAGGAATGAAACCTACTTGATCATGGTAAAATAACTCTTTGACATGCTGCTGGATTTGATTTGCTACTATTTTGTTTAGGATTTTTATGTCTGTCCTCATTAGGGATATTGGCCTGTAGTTTTCTTTTTGTTGTGTCTTTGCCAGGTTTTGGTATCAGGGTGGTTCTGGCTTACTAGAATAAGTTAGGGAGGAGTCCCTCCTTCTCAATTTTTAGGAATCATTTCAGTAGAATTGGTGCCAGCTCTTTTTATATGTCTAGTAGAATTTTGCTGTGAATCCATTTTGTCCAGGGCTTTTTTTGGTCGGTAGATTTTTTACTACTGATTCAATTTTGGAACTCAATATTGGTCTATTTAGGGTTTCAATTTCTTCCTGATTTACTCTTAGGAGTTCGTGTGTGTTTCCAGGAAGTTAGCCATTTCCTCTATATTTTCTAGTTTGTGTGCATAGATGAACACACACTTCTCAAAAGAAGACAAACAGCCAATAAACAAGAAAAAATGATCCACATCACTAATTATCTGAGAAATGTAAATCAAATCCACAAGATACCACCTTACAGTAGTCAGAATGACTACTATTGAAAAGTCAAGACAAATGGCATCTGATTAAACTAAAGATCTTCTGCACAGCAAAAGAAACTATCATCAGAGTGAACAGGCAACCTACAGAAAGGGAGAAAGTTTTTACAATCTGTCCATCAGACAAAGGGCTAATATCCAGAATCTACAAAGAACTTAAACAAATTTACAAAAAAAACACAAACCCATCAAAAAGTGTGTGAAGAATATGAACAGACACTTCTCAAAAGAAGACATTTATGCAGCCAACAAACATGAAAGAAAGCTGATAATCACTGCTCATTAGAGAAATGCAAATCAAACTTACAATGAGATACCATCTCATGCCAGTTAGAATGGTGATCATTAAAAAGTCAGAAAACAACAGATGCTGTAGAGGATGTGGAGAAATATGAACACTTTTACACTGTTGATGGGAGTGTAAATTAGTTCAACCATTGTGGAAGACAGTATGGCAATTCCTCAAGGATCTAGAACTAGAAATACCATTTGACCCAGCAATACCATTACTGGGTATATACCCAAAAGCATTATAAATCATTCTACTATAAAGACATAGGCACACATATGTTTATTCCAGCACTGTTCACAATAGCAAAGACTTGGAACGAACCCAAATGTCCATCAATGATAAACTGGATTAAGAAAATATGGCACATATACACCATGGAATACTAAGCAGCCAGAAAAAAGGATGAGTTCATGTCTTTTGCAGGGACATGGATGATGCTGGAAACCATCATTCTCAGCAAACTAACACAAGAACAGAAAACCAAACACTGCATGTTCTCACTCATAAGTGAGAGTTGATCAGTGAGAACACATGGACACAGGGAGGGGAACATCACACACTGGGGCCTGTCGGGGGGTGGGAGGCTAGGGGAGGGATAGCATTAGGTGGAATACCTAATGTAAATGATGGGTTGATGGGTGCAACAAACCACCATGGCACATGTATACCTATGTAACAAACCTGCACGTTCTGCACATTTACCCCAGAACTTAAAGTATAATAATAATAATAATAATAATAAAGTCAAATAACAGGTGATAGAGAGGCTATGGAGAGGAAGGAAACCATTATACACTGTGGTAGGAAATGTAAATTAGTTCAGCCATTGTGGAAAACAGTTTGATAATTTTTCAAATAACTTAAAGCAGAACTACCATTCAACCCAGCAATCCTGTTACTAGGTATATGCCCTAAAGAAAATAAATTGTTCTACAAAAAAAAAAAAAAAAATTCACATTTGTATGTTCATCACAGCATTATCCATAATAGCAAAGATATGGAATCAACCTAGATGTCTATCAATGGTGGATTTGATAAAGTAAATATGGCACATATGCACCATGAAATACTATGCAGCCACAAAAAGAAATGAAATTATGTCTTTTTGCAGCAACATGAATGAAGCTGGAGACAATTATCCTAAGTGAATTAATGCAGGAACAGAAAACAAAATACCGTATGTTCTGGCTTATAAGTGGGTGCTAAATACTGGCTACTCATGGAAATAAAGATGGCAATGATAGCCACTGGAGACTACCAGAAAGAGGAGGGAGGGAGATGTGAAGGGTTGAAAAACTATTGAGTATTACACTCACTACTTGGGTGATGGGATCATTCCTATTTCAAACCTCAGCATCTTGGAATATACCAATGTACCAAACATGCACATGTACCCTCTGATTCTAAAATAAATGTTGAAATAATAAAAATAATTGTAGTACTAAAGAGAAACAAGAGAATAAAGAGAAAAATAGATTAGTGAAGCAGAAAAAAAACTAAATGATTTATAGCACATTGGTGGCACTACTGGAAATGGAATATTTATCTACATATGTTGATTCTGTTTTTCTCTCTGCAACACATATCTTGTCCTGTCACTTCTACATTAAAACATTCAATGGCTTTTGTCATTTTTAAGCTTTGTACAAGGTTTTATAAATGACAGATTGGGTGGATTTTTCTTATCTATTATTATTAGAGTGAAGAGAAATCACTCTGCCTCACTTACCATTGGAAAAAATATACTTCTGATGGTATTTTGGGGGTCAATAATCCACAGTCTCCCTTCTTTGCCTATGTGTAAAACTTCCATTATCATTAATAGTCAACTACAAATATATTTCATTTTATATAACCTGCCCTGAACTCACCAGAGGGAGAAAGTCGTTTTTTCTTCTGTGTTCAGTGTGGGTAGTTCTGTTAATTCACTTATTATAATGTATAGTAATTATTTCTTTACATATAGTCCTCTACTACTCAACTGTAAACTCTTTGAAGGCAGGGTACCCTTAAGTCTTTGAATCTTTGTAATGTAAATGTTGATATATGCTTGTTAAATTAATTGAATCTCACAACTCACCCTTTTGTTACTAATTATTGAAGCTGGCTTTATCTATTATTCAATAATTCTTAGATCAAATTATTTTTTTAAATGTTATCAATTATAGGTAGCCTTGTTAAAAAAAAAACTCTGATTTTTAATTTTCTGTAGCTTCTTTAGAACATACTCTATTTTCTTCTCATATTATCCTGAGGAGATGACAAAAAATGCTTTAGTCATTGAGTGCAATTCAAATCTAGTAAAATCTGACTCTTAAGAGTGAGCATATGCTTTTTGGAAAACTAGTTATATTCTAAGCTTGGCAAAGCATAGCTTCCTGGTTCAAAGAAGAAGAGCTTTAAAAGGCTAATAGACTCATGAGATCCCTTAAACATCAAATAGCACTCATAAAGCCTTATTTGATGAATTAGATATCAATGAATCACAGTCATGGAAACGAAATTGCCCTTTCAATATTCATGGGCAGAAAAGGCAAGTTTAAATGCACTTAGCTTTTCTCAGACTTGAAATATAATTGTTTGAAAAATCCTAAAATGTTTTCATTAGGGCTGCCCTTTGTGTAAAATATTTACAGCAGCCAGATTATTAGGAGAAATCAATTCTCTAAATAGCTGCACATAGTAGCAATCAATGTTAAATTTCATTATATCAAGTGACTCTTGGGAAAATAATATTGCAGGACTATATTTGAATATCTAATGCTTTTAGAGCTTTACGCTTCATAAACTTCTTGAAAATGTTATACAGCTTCTATTATATCTGAGTGTACATGGAAAATCTGTGTACCTTCCTCTCAATTTTGCTATCAACCTGAAAGTGCTCTAAAAAATAAAATATGTGCTACTGTTACACAGTTTAGTTGTTTATTTCTTTGCCAAAACTAAATGCTGGTCTAAATACAGTAAAAATACACAATATAATCTAAATACACACACACACACACACACACACACACACACAAATTTTATGTTGTGTAGGTATAGAAGAAAGATGGAAGGCCTTGAGACAATTCTTCTTCACCTTGAACTTATATTATATGCCTGGCTCTCTCAGCCAACCTGTTTCCCAAATATTCATCCCACGAACCCTACTTTTTTGCTAAATTATCAAACATGGAGTCAGATTACTATGTTACATACAAAGAGTTACAATTTTTACCTATTTTTCACACTGATGTGATTGAATAATCTAATTTGAAAAGTACATGTCTAAACTGACCATGTTAGATACTTATGAGTTTGCAATAATTTTTATTTTTGCCCATTCTACATGAAATTTTACCTATCTTTATTCTTTAACAACCATGTTTGTCAACAAAGGTTTACTATTGGTTTTTTAAGTGTTATGAGAATTTAATAGTTCTTATGCAAAATGTCTCCCTGCTTAGAAAGTGTGTTATTTAGTTAACTATATTTGGTTAATAAGTATGTCTCAATTTTTAAAACTTACTTTTGCTTGCCGTAAATTATGTACATTTCATTTTAATTATTCTCTCAATAACTAAAGGCTGTTGAAATATGTATGTTTTATTCTGAACATGTGTCATAATTAGTACACTGAGAGAATATTATTATTAAAAAATGGAAGACAAATGAAAGAAAATTGTGCTATATTTTAATGAAATATAAAGATTGTCAAAGACAGCTTCCCCGATTGGGTTTACATTTCATTTAGATTGACAAAGAAACAAACCCACTCTACTCAACATTTTGAGTGAGATATTTACTTAGTTTGAAGATAAATGTGTATTTTCTCTTTCTGTTTCTCCAACTTGAAAGTCACTTTTGCAACAGCGTAAAGCTCCTAGGTAGCATATGTGGGATTTTTATGATGATTAACATGTTGGTATTCTTGTTAAAGATGCCATCGGAAGGAAAGGCTTCATGTCCATTTTCCTGCCTCATTTTCTTCCTCCCAACATTTTTCCTTACAGTAAATAAAACTAAGATTATGTAAGTATTTACACCGTCTATTCTTTCCTTTACCATGTCTTTCTTTTGTGCGTCTTACCTGACAGAACACCCTTGGATAAGAGATCTGCCCTCTATCCTCTCCTACCCCCACCTAAAATGCTGAGGTTCTATCTTTCTATTTTTAGGGGAAGGGTGTAGGATGACCAGGGCAGGAAAAAGTGGAATGATAACATGTAATCAGATACACTAGATACGATTTTAACCTCTCTCTCTCTCTCTCTCTCTCGCTATATATATATATATATATATATATATATATAACAAACTCTATATTTTACTAATGCAAAAGTCAATATTTAACCACGTTACATAATATATTGCATAGTTTTTTTGTGTTAATTTGATATATTCACCTTCAACTTTTATATCTAAAATAGTTGAAACTATCAAACAACTTAGTGATCCCTTGTTCACACTATGGTTACAAACGAACAAAACTGTTGTTAGGAAAATTGGAGATGTCGTACTAGTTCAATTTTGAAGTATCTGTATAGGTAAGAAAGTTGGTGGAAAAGCACAGAAATGTTTTGTAGTATCAAGCAGATATATTAGTAGGTAAAATGTAAATTAATGTGATGTTATTTGATGTAGGCATAAATAAAGTAGAGATTCTCAATTAGTAACTAAATTATGCTAATTGATCTCAGCCTGAATTATCTTCAAATTGGTTTAAACCACTGTCTCCCTCCTCTTGGATTCCTCATGACTTCCTTTTGTGTTGGAACATGAACCTCCCAATAAGCAGCTCTGGTTTTCCACTTCACCCTTGAACTTCATCATAGGTCCTTTCTTGCTTTGAGCCTCCTAAAATTTGGTGAAAATGAAAAGTAGCTTCTTATAGAGATTTTTGATTCCCATGGAATAAAGATGAGAACACTTATTCTGCTCCTTTCTCCCTCTCATTAAATAACTTACATTCTATTAGTCAAAGAATTTAATCCCAGATAAGTTACTTACATTTGATAGTCATTGTTTTGCATTTATTAAATTGTTTATAGGGACAGTATCTGACTTGATCAAGTTTTATTATGTTTTTCTTTTTACTGATAAATTATACAGTTTTGGTGGAAAGTACTTAAAGAAAATTGCATTGTCAAACTCAAAAATATGAATGCAAATTTTTATACTAATGGAATTCACAGATAATTCTAAATTATAAAGTGCTTGAGATATAAGCAATAATAGAGAAGAAATATTTTCAAAATTCTCAAATAGGACAATATTCAAAGAAATTTTTAAAATATACAAAAAAAGCTTGTTTATGAACAACTAGAGTAGAATGAATGTAGTACCAATGTTTTTTAAGAGGTAAACTATATGTGATGGATAGCTGTTATGTTTGAAATCATGTACAAATATGAAATTTGATGTGATTATGAAATATTACTTTATTAGCGATATAAAATATACTTGTTTTTTACTATCTTTAAGGAGAAAAAATTATATTTACGTCATACTTTTATTTTACATTTATAATAACTGCTAAAGAGATATTCCCAAAGCTTTCACACAAATACGACAAGCATATCAAATTCACTTCAAAGCAGGAACTTGACTTCCATGCAAAATAAGTTGCTTTATTATCTATGAGCTTACAGATTTCTATAGGAAAGCGTTATTGAATCTGATATTGTAATGAAAGTTCTCTAATTTGCATTGGTAGCATATGCTCTGGAGACTAAAATATTGTCATTATTGAGTTTTTAAAGTAATAGAAATTAACTATTTGTTGAACTTTTTTCATATCAGGATTTTTAAAGAAGACATTAAAGAAGCTAAATACAATATTCATTACTTTAAAATTTATAAATGCTGAATCACTCTACATTGATTCTTGGATATAGACCTACTATATCAATGCTATATAGACTTATTATACAATGGGAAGTAGTAATACACTGCAATTATCACCTATGTATTTTTCTCAGATTTTTTATGTACTTGCTATCAAAGATAGTTTATCTGTGGTTTATCAGCACAAATGACCAGGTTTATTTGTATTTATTATTCCCCATTCAGTATGAATGGACCATGTAGCTCTTATTCAAAGCATCTAAAAGGGTAATACATAAAAAAACTATTAATTGTTACATATGAGTGAATACTTTTTTTTTTTTTTTTTTTTTTGAGACAGAATCTCACTCTGTCTCCCAGGCTGGAGTGCAGTGGGGCTGGGGCCATCTTGGCTCACTGCAACCTCCGCCTCCCTGGTTCAAGCAGTTCTGCCTCAGCCTCCCAAGTAGCTGGGACTACAGGCTCCTCCCACCATTCCCAGCTAATTTTTGTAATTTTAGTAGAGACAGGGTTTCACCATATTGGCCAGGCTGGTCTCAAACTCCTGACATTGTGATCTACCCGCCTCAGCCTCCCAAAGTGCTGGGATTACATCAAAATGTTTTTCATGTCGAATCTTCACTACAATTATATAAAGTTTTAACAACCAAGCATTTGTTTCAAGCCTTTGTAATTCCTAGTCATGGTCATTTTTTAAATTTTTTATTTTGAAGTGATGGTATAGGCAAAAAATAATTCATAGATATCTCCCTTCATTGTGGGGGATGGTTAGAGGGTTCAGTCAGGTGAGCATAGTTAATCTCAGAGAATTTCTCCAGGTTCTGTTTAACTGCCTCTAGGAAATATAGAGAAAAGGGATGGTATTTATTATAATAGTTGAATAACTTAACATCCCAGAATTGCGTTAACATTATTTTCTTCTTTACTCAATAGTTATAATCCTCACTGTGGAATCTCTATGCGTTCATTATGCATGTCCCAACATCAGGGGTCAGTCTTCTGGCTCTTGATTAGAGAGAATGTACATAAATACTGTAATACGTTAATTTGCTAACATTTTACTTTACTGTGTTACAAAATATTTTGAAGTGGAGAATAGCATATGTACCAACACTGAAGTTATCACCTTCCAAAGGAGATTAAGAAAAAATTTATAAGTCTGATTATGAAACATAGAAATAAAGCTAAAATATTTATTCTGCAAAGGTAAAGATTAGTGGTAGAAGTTATAACGTTCTTATGTCTCAAAAGCTATTACAATGGATATACTTACAATATTTTCTCAGCTAATAGTGAAAAAGGAAAAAAGATTAAACCTCATTAAGAGATATTTAAGATAAATTTGTAAGAATCCTATGATTTCATGAATTAATGGTAGGAGTAGAGAAATGTGATGCTAGAACATTTTCTTCTTAAAAGTTATAAAACAAACTACTTTACCTCAAGGCAGAAGAACAGATTCAGGGAATATTGAAATCTCTCTTAATCTTATCACTACATAATTTGTGCAGTGTTAGTTTCATTCTGTTACATTCTCTGTGAAATATAAATTACATAATATTGATTGTGGTTCATCGACCATATCAGTCAACAAATACTTAGAACCTGACATTTTTCTAGGAATTACAGATATATTTTTATTTCTTTCAAGGCATTTGTCTGTCTATCTATCTATCTATCTATCTATCTATCTATCTATCTATCTGTCTATATATCTATATCTATCTCTCTATCATCTATCTATGTATCTATACTTCAACAGCTTTTTAGGGTACAAGTGTTTCTTGATTACATGGATGAATTGTATAGTGATGAAGTCTGGAATTTTAGTGCTCCCATCACATGAGCAGTGTGCATTTTACCCAATATGTAGTTTTTTATTCCTCACGCCCCTCCCACCCTTCCCTTCCTGAGTCTAAGTGTGTTATACCACTCTGTATGCCTTTGTATACCCATAGCTTAGCTGCCAAATATAAATGAGAATTTACAGTATTTAGTTTTCCATTCCTGAGTTACTTCACTTAGAATACTGGTCTCTCACTCCATCCTAGTTGCTGCAAAAGACATTATTCTGTCGTTTTTAAGACTGAGTAGTGTGTGTGTGGGTGTGTGTGTGTGTGTGTGTGTGTTATATAAACATTATATATTATATATATATGATATATTGTATTTTTAGCAAAGACGGGGTTTCACCATATTGGCCAGGCTTGTCTCAAACTCCGGACCTTGTGATCTGCGAACCTCAGACTCCCAAAGTGCTGGGATTACATCAAAATGTTTTTTCATATCGAATCTTCATTACAATTATATAAAGTTTTAACAACCAGGCATATATATATTTATACGTTTATATTTACATAAATATATGTTAATATTTATATCAATATGTTTATATTTATATCAATATATGTTTATACTCATATAAATATGTTTATATTCATATAAATATACGTTTATGCTTATATTCATATGAATATATTATATGCATATAATTATATTTTTATATAAATATATGTATATATTTATATGCATATAAATATATGCCTATATTTATATTCATATAAATATAGGCATATATTTATGTGAATATATTATATGCATATATTTATATATTAATATAGTATATGTATATATTTATATCAATATATTATATTTATATTTATATCATTATATTATATATTTATATAAATATAAATATATTATATAAATACATATTTAAAATTATATTATATATTTATATTTATATCAATATATATTCATATGTATATATAAATACGTAAATTTATTTATGTAAATATATGCGTATAATATATTTAATATTTATAATATATAAATATATATAATATTTATATATAAATAATTTATATAAATATATATTTATATTTATATAAAAATATAAATATAAATTATATTTATAAATTATAATTATATAATTATATATAATTATAAATAATTATATATAAATAAATAATATATATAAATAAATAAAAATATAATTATAAATTATAAATATATAAATTATATATATAATTATAAATATATATTTATATAAATATAAATATATATATATATTTATGTTTATATAAATTATTTATATATAATATTATATATTTATATTTATATAAATTATTTATATATAAATATATATTTAGATATCATTATATTATATATGTATATTTGTATAAATTATTTATATATAAATATTATATATTTATATCTAAATATGTAATATATTGATATCTAAATATATAATATATAAATAATTTATATATTATATATTGATATCAATATATTATATATTTATATATTATATAACATATTATATAATATATAAATATAATATATATTGTATATATATTATATATTATATTATATATTAATATTTATATATTATATATAATATATATTAATATTTATATATTATATATAATATATATTAATATTTATATATTATATATAACATATATTAATATTTATATATTATATATTATATATCAATATATTATATATTGTATATTAAATTGTATTATTATATTATATATTATGTATTTATATTTATAACAATATATTATATATTATATTTCATATTGTATTATATTATTGTATATTATATTATTATTTTATATATTATATATAATATTTATTGTATATCATATTATATAGAATGTATTTATATCAATATATTATACATTTATATATATTTAACATTTTCTTTATCCACTCATTGGTCAGTGGGTACATAGGGTCATCCTGTATCTTTGCAATTGTGAATTGTGCTGCAATAAATATTCGTGTGCAGGTGTCTTTTTGATATACTGACATCTTTTCCTTTGGGTAGATACCCAGTAGTGGGATTGCTGGATTCAATGGTAGGTCTACTTTTAGTTCTTTAAGAAACTTTCATACTGTTTTCCATAGGGGTTTTACTAATTTATATTCCCACCTGCAGTGTATAAGCTTTCCCTTTCACCACATTCATGCCAACATCTATTGTTTTTGATTTTTTAATAATGGCCATTCTTGCTGGGGTAAGGTGTTATCTCATTGTGGTTTTAATTTGCATTCCCCTGATAATTAGTGATGTTGAATATTTTTTAAATATATTTGTATATCTTCATTTGAGAAATGTCTATTTATGTCATTTGCCCACTTTTTGATGAAATTATTATTTTTTTCTTGCTGATTTGTTTGAGTTTCTTGTAGATTCTGGATGTTATTCCTTCGTTGGATGTATAGTTGGCAAATATTTTTAGAAATACATTTTCTGCTAACTAGGGAACAAAACAGGTAAAATGTTTGCTCTCCTAAAGCTTATATTCATTTGGGGAAACAAAGAAAATGAACAAATGAACATATAGATAGATATAGGTTTAAATATAGATATAGATGATATAACTATCTATTTCGACAAAAAAATAATTACAGAGATAGGAAATAAATTACAATAGGAAGTGTCTGGGAAGGAATGCAATTCATTTGTTCAGGATGACCACAGAAGACCTCTTTGGTTAAGTGAAATACGTGAGGGAGGACCCTCCAGGTTATGTGCAGTGACTGAGTTTTTGCTGAAAGAATAGCAAATCAAAGGTCTCAAGGCAGAAATATGCCCAGTATTTTTAAGAAATGGCAAGGATATCAGTGGGACTGCAGTGGAAGAAGGACAGGAATTGAGGTAAAAGAGGTGGAGAGACCACTTGAAACTTACAAACATTAACCTAGTAACAAATTCATATTAGAGTCTAATATTGCAAATCTTTTCATAGTATTCTAATGGTATGAGAACTACAAACATGTCTTCTTTTACATTGTACTTATTTGATAGAAAATGTTTTGATTTGTGTACATTTTTCTATTGTTACAATAAATATTGTACAATGGTAAAACTATTATCTATTGGAAGCTATGTTTAATATTTTATTCAGCATTATAATGCCAGAACCTATTACAATATTAATCACTGGATGGTGAAAATACATATTTGCTCAATGAATGTGTGGATGATTCAAATCTCCTTTTACAGTAAGAAGGAGCATAACATGGTTAAAAGGATAGACTGGGGAATTAAACTGAGTTTGCATGCTGGTACTTTAGAGATACATTTCTTTGGTCCCTATAGGGATTACAATTGACATTCTAAATTTGTAACTTCCTACTTTTTACTGATACCAATTCATGGAAACTGAACAACCTGCTCCTGAATGACTACTGGGTACATAACAAAATGAAGGCAGAAATAAATAAGTTCTTTGAAACCAATGAGAACAAAGACATAATGTACCAGAATCTCTGGGACACAGCTAAAGCAGTGTGTAGAAGGTAATTTATAGCACTAAATACCCACAGGAGAAAGCGGGAAAGATCTAAAACCGAAACCCTAACATCACAATTAAAAGAACTGGAGAAGCAAGAGCAAACAAATTCAAAATCTAGCAGAAAAGAAATAACTAAGATCAGAGCAGAACTGAAGGAGATAGAGACATGAAAAATCCTTTAAAAAATCAATGAATCTAGGAGCTGGTTTTTTGAAAAGATTAACAAAATAGATAGATGGATAGCCAGACCAATAAAGAATAAAAGAGAGAAGAATCAAATAGGCACAATAAAAAATGATAAAAGGAATATCACCACTGATCCCACAGAAATACAAACTACCATCCGAGAATACTATAAACACCTCTAGGCAAATAAACTAGAAAATCTAGAATAAATGGATAAATTCCTGGACACATACACCCTCCCAAGACTAAACCAGGAAGAAGTCTAATCCCTGAATAGACCAGCAACAAGTTCTGAAATTGAGGCAGTAATTAATAGCCTACCAACCAAAAAAAAGCCCAGGACCAGACGGATTCACAGCCGAATTCTACCAGAGGTACGAAGAGGAGCTGGTACCATTCACTGTGAAAGTATTACAATCAATAAAAAAGAAAGATTCCTCTCTAACTCATTTTATGAGGCCAGCATCATCCTGATGCCAAAACCTGGCAGAGACACAACAAAAAAAGAAAATGTCAGGCCAATATCCCTGAAGAACATTGATGCAAAAATCCTCAATAAAATACTGGCAAACTGAATCCAGCAGCACATCAAAAACCTTATCCACCACAATCAAGTCAGCTTCATCCCTGGGATGCAAGGCTGGTTCAACATATGCAAATCAGTAAATGTAATCCATCACATAAACAGAACCAACAAAAAAAACCACATGATTATCTGAATAGATGCAGAAAAGGCCTTCGATAAAATTCAACACCCCTTCATGCTAAAAACTCTCTATAAACTAGGTATTGATGGAACGTATCTCAAAATAATAAGAGCTATTTATGACAAACCAGCAGCCAATATCATACTGAATGAGCAAATGCTGGAAGCGTTCCCTTTGAAACCCAGCACAAGACAACGATGCCCTCTCTCACCACTCCTATTCAACATAGTATTGGAAGTTCTGGCCAGGGCAATCAGGCAAGAGAAACAAATAAAGAGTATTCAAATAGGAAGAGAGGAAGTCAAATTATATTTACTTCTACAGTTACCGTTACTGGAGATATATTTTCTTGTATCTCTTCAAGTTATTGTCTAGTGTCCCTTTGCTTAAACTTGAAGAACTCCCATTAGCATTTCTTCTGAACACATCTAGTGATGGCAAACTCTCACAACTTTTATGTGGAGATGTCTTAATTTCTCCTTGATTTGTTGAAGGATACTTTTGCTGGATATAAAATTTTTGTTTGACTTTCTTCTTTCAGCACTATAAATATGTCACCCCACTAAATATGGCCTCCAGGGTTTTATATAAAATATCAGCTTAATGATTTTTTTGTAAATGATGAGTTTCTTTCTCTTGCTGCTTTCAAAATTCTCATCTAGAGAATTCGGTTTTAGAAAGATCTAAAACCGAAACCCTAACATCACAATTAAAAGAACTGGAGAAGCAAGAGCAAACAAATTCAAAATCTAGCAGAAAAGAAATAACTAAGATCAGAGCAGAACTGAAGGAGATAGAGACACAAAAAATCCTTTAAAAAATCAATGAATCTAGGAGCTGGTTTTTTGAAAAGATTAACAAAATAGATAGATGGATAGCCAGACCAATAAAGAATAAAAGAGAAAAGAATCAAATAGGCACAATAAAAAATGATAAAAGGAATATCACCACTGATCCCACAGAAATACAAACTACCATCCAAGAATACTATATACACCTCTAGGCAAATAAACTAGAAAATCTAGAAGAAATGAATAAATTCCTGGACACATACACCCTCCCAAGACTTTAAATCATAGACTTTAAATGATATGCTTGTAATGTTTCTCAGAATGGATCTTTTTGAGGTTATGCTAGTTAGAATTTGTTGAGCCTCTTGAATCAGGAGATTTACGTTTTTTATCAAATAAGAAAAGTTTTTGCCATTATTCTTCATATATTTTTTCATCCCACAGGTCACTTGGTTCACTTTATTATTCTTTCTGTTTTTCAGACTGGATAATTTTAATTGACCTATCTTCAAGTCTGCTGTTATTTTCTTCTGACTTTTCAAATCTCCTATTGAGCACTCTAGTGAATTTTTTATTTCAGTTATTGTAATTTTAAGTTCCATAATGTCTAATTGTTTCTTTTTAAAATATTTTTTGTGTCTACTTGTACATCCATCATTTTCCTGGTTTCCCTCAGTTCTTGGTGTGTAGTTTTTAATAGTTCTTTGAGAATATTTAAGACTGTTTATTTAAACTATTTATATTATAAACACAATGTCAGGGATTCCTCAGGGATGGTATCTGTCACTTTTTTTTTTTCCTGTGAATGAGACATAGTTTCCTGTTTCTTTGTATGTCATGTGACTGTTTTATCCAAATCTGAATATTTGAATCCTATGAAAATTCTGGGAACAAGATTCTCCTTCTTCCCCAGAACTCACTATCTTTGACTGTAAAAATATATTTAGTAACTTTTCTTATTTTTGCAAAGATTGTATTCAGTGTCACTTATGGTCATTTAACTGTCAGTTCCTTTAGCGTGTGTTCAGCTAGTATCATGGCAGAAATTTCCTTGAATGCCGGAGGCAACACATCAATAAACAAACAAAAAAGCAGTTTTTGTAGATTGCATCTGTTCTGGAGCATTCCTTCAATACTTAATCAGGCTGTTAACAATGCTGCCTTAGCCTTTATTTCCTGATTAGACTGCCCAAATCTGCTGTTGAATACCCTAGCGAAATTTTCAATTTAGTTATTGCACTTCTCAGATAGAGATCACCCAGATGTGAAAGCTTATGATCTTCTCAAGCTTTTGCTGAGCATACATTCCACTCTGAACCTGTATGTGGCTTTCTAAATCCTCCAGTGTACATAGGCACTTTTGAATGTCAAACCTTCCCAAGGAAACTCTCCCCCAAGCTTTTCCTCCTAGGCTTTAGGCAGTCTATTTTAGGTCTCAACTATTTTTTTTTTTTTTTGGTCTCATGCAGCTGTGAGATTATGTTTGCCTTACAATGTTTTGAAGTATACCCATTGCTTTTCCACCCTGAAAGAGTTCTAATTTTGCTGAAAGCTCTGCTTTTTTGGGCAAGCCAGTTAGCCTTCCTGTCCCTTATGTATACAATGGAGATAATAACAATACATAGCTGTATCATTTAAGATATACTACATTGTGCTTCTATAACAAAAACTTCCCAAATCTCAGTAGCTTAAAACAAATTTGCTTCTTTCATGTTCTTGACATATTTGTATTGATTGTCACAAAGGGGCCCTACTTAGTCACTTAGGGATATAGACTACATCTAAATAATTGCCTCTTCAAATAGTCGAGAGAAAATTTCACACTGGTTATTTAGAATTGAGGGTGACACACATCATTTCCACCTTAACTGACCAACTAATCTCATATAGCCATACATAAATTCAATTCATGGAGAAGTTGAATCCTACTATATAACATGAAAGAGAAACCAATTGTATTAGTCAGTGTTCTCCAGAAGGAAAGAATCAATAAGATATGTATGTATGTATATATATGTATGTGTGTGTGTATATATATATGTGTAGATATATGTATATATATATGTGTATTTATGTGTATATATGTGTGTATATATATATGAGATTTTATTAGAGAGAATTGACTCACAGTTACAAGGCTATGTCCCAGGATAGTCCATCTTCAAATTGGGAAAGAGAGAAACCAGCAGCATGGCTCAGTCCAAGTCCCAAAGCCTGAAAACCAGGGAAGTTGACAGTGCAGCCCTCAGTCTGAGGCTAGAGGCTCAAGAGCCCCCCGGAGGCTACTGGTACAAGTGCCAGAGTACTAAAGCTTAAGAACCCAGAGTATGATGTCCAAGGGCAGGAGGAGAGGAAGCCATGGGAAGACAGAAAAATAGAGGACTCAGCAACCTGCTTATCCCTCTTCTTCAGCCTCCTTTGTTTTAGTCAAACTGGCAGCAAATTGGAGGGTGCCCACCCACATTGAGGGTGGGTGATATGGTTAGGATGTGTCCCCACTCAAATCTCATCTTGAATTGTAGCTCCCATAATTCCCACATGTTGTGGGTGGGACCTGGTGGGAGGTAATGGAATCATGGGAGTGGGTCTTTCCCTTTCTGTTCTCATAGTAGTGAATAAGTCTCATGAGATCTGTGGTTTTATAAAGTGGAGTTCCCCTGCACATGCTCTCTTTTTGTCTGCCAGCATGTCAGATGTGACTTTGCTCCTCATTCATCTGTCATCATTGTGAAGCCTTCCAGTCAGGTGGAACTGTGTGTCAATTAAACCTCTTTCCTTTATAAATTGCCCAGTCTTGGGTATGTCTTTATTACCAGCATGAGAACAGTTTAGAACAGTGGGTCTTCCTCTCCCAGTCCACTGACTTAAATGTCATTCTTCTCTGGCAACACCCTCACAGACACACTCAGAAACAAAACTTTACCAGCCACCTAGGCATCCCTCAATCCAGTCAAGGCGACGCCTAATATTAACAATCACATCAATTATATGTGAAAATCCCTAAAAACTGTCATTCTTCCTCGAAGGGTTGGTATGAGAAATAAGTATTTAATATTAGCTTAATAATTAGACTAGCGTTTGGTACTTAGTAATTGCTATCTATATAATGTTAAATACATACATTCAGCTTTCAGTCATAATTCTGAACCATTACACCTGCAATTTAAATTTATGAAGAGTCCTCTATCCACTCATCCAACCCCCATGAAAAAAATAACTACTTCAGCATTTTGCTTATGAACTAATTTGGATTAGGTTACTATATCCTTCATGTCTAAGGTGATGTTAAGGAATAACTGAGTATTAACAGCAATATATAATAAAATAAATAAGAAAAAGTCATTTTTAAAATTAGTAATTTGTTATTATAATTTGCATAATTCAAGCAATAAATACGTTTTCCATAGTATTAGGTAAAGTCACTAAAAAATTTAAAACTTTAAACAGAAATTTTTTGTGAGAATAAGTTTGTCATTGATGTTATATGGAAACAAACGCGTCATAAATTTTTGGTGAAGAAATATATTTACATTTATACATGTTTATCAGTTTATTTTTTCAGAATCTTTAAAGTGAATGTCTCTGCCTTCTATCATGTAAATAGACATTTTACACTATACTATTCATCAATCAAATTAATTTAATACTATATATTGATTTAAATGCTAAAGGAAGGTTTTTATCAAGTTAACAGTTCTGGACCAAACAACACTGTAGCTTTCTATATTTACTTTACATTTACATTTTGTAGTGAGTCTTGTATTATGCACAGAATATCTGAAATAATTTTGTACTATTGTAATTAAGTATTAAATCACAATATAGTAATGTACCCTTTGTTCATGGTTGGAGCAAGATTGCTCTGAACTGGAATTAAGTATTTATTGTAAATGCAGCCAAATCAAACTGTTTAGTACAGAACCTAAATTTAAAAAACACTATGGTCAGTTACACTAATCAAATAAATTAAAGTTTAAAAAAAGTTTTTAAAATTTCAAGTACCATGGGATTCTTAACGAACAAGCAAAGAATTGAGTTTTTAATTCTCTCTGGAAGTCTGCTATATTATAGCTGCAACTCCATCTGGATTAAAAAATAGTGTCTGGATCATTTTATTCTTCTGAAAGTTTGTCTTTTGCTCCAAGTTTTTCTCCAAATACTGTAAATCATATCTGTCCAATTTCAAAGAAAAGTGAGAACACTTGAGAACAACAATTTTTTGAAATCTGAAGTTTCTGTAACTTTAACTTTTCCAATCTGGTTTCCAACTAAAAATTAAGATAGCTCCTACCTTTATTCACTTAAGTCAATATGAAACCCAAGATTCATGTTTGAAAGAGTTTTTTCAACTTCAAACCTTTGCGTTTTTAAGCTAAATGTTTGTGAATACAACTGCATTTTATGGATGCTGATTAGCAAGGGATAATCAGCACCAATAAAATGAGCTCGTAAATGCCCAGCCAATACCAAAAGACATTGTATGTTTTGGTAAGTGAGTGCAGTACAAGCAAGTTGACATTACATGTATATACTTGTATTAGTCCATTTTCACACTGCTCATAAACACATACCTGAGACTAGGAAGAAAAAGAGGTTTAATTGGACTTACAGTTCCACATGGCTGGGGAGGCCTCAGAATCATGGCGGAAGGTGAAAGGCACTTCTTACATGGTGGTGGCAAGAGAAAATGAGGAAGAAGCAAAAGTGGAAATCCTCGATACACCCATCAGATCTCATGAGACTTATTCATTATCACGAGAATAGCACTGGAAAGACTGGCTCCCATGATTCAATTACCTCCCACTGTGTTCCTCTGACAACACATGGGAATTCTAGGAGATACAATTCAAGTTGAGATTTGGGTGGGGACATAGCCAAACCATATCAGTACTTTTAGAGGCTTTTAAAATTAGTCCCACATTATACTTTATAAGAATCTTTGGAGTCTATTTAACTAAATGGAGATTACTGGTCTACCTACTAAGGAAATAAAATTTAATACTATTAACAGAATTTATTGAGTATTAAATATATGATTGATAATTTTGGTGCCGTATCCCTAACATAACACAGAGTGTAATTAAGTTTGCCAATGATACACAGCTTGCAAGTAGCAATTATGATATTTGAAAATTGCTATAAAAAAAATACAAAAACGCTGTCACTGCAAAGCTATGTCCTAAGGGCTATGGTTTTTCTATGACTGGAGAATCAGGACACATATAGAAGCAAATTGATATCACCTTAAAATATATATAAGAAAAAATGCCAAAACATGCTACATATTTCATTATTGATGTCCTCAAATGATTAATTTAAAAAATTCCAAACCTGAAGAGGAGTTGGAAGATTAGCAAATTAACACCTCCATACCCATTATCTAGATTCATCAGGTATAAGTAGTTTGGCCAAATTTACTTTCTGCCTTCCCCAAGTGGTATCATTATCAGATCCATTTGAAAGCAATATGAAAATAATTGTGAAATACAATCTCAAAATTTTTCTGCATGTAATTTTTAAAAGCTAGGACAGTGTTCTACAAAAGTGGAAGTTCTGTTACTTCACACAAGAACTTTAACTTTGATATATTAATATTAAGCAAAAAACAAATTCTGATACTTGTTAATAAGTGAAAGAGATTACTAGATATCCTTTGGTATACCCATTAGTTCTAGGCTTACAATTTTGGTAAATTTTCTATTGACTGATGTATTTTATAACAGATTTATGAAATTTATGAAACAGATTTTTTAACACAGATTTATGAAATAACAGAGGTCACCTGGTAGATTTCTGTTTATACAGATGCGAATCATTTCTATCTGTTTGAAACAACAACTCTACAGCTACAGTTTATTGCTCTAGTTTTATATCTAATCCAGCAATACTATCTTAATATCCCTTTATTAATTTGCCTTATAGAAACCTAACTCTTCATATAATCTTTGGATTGGTTAATATCTTACTGGTTCCCTTATTAAGTGATGTGAGCTAGATAAATATTTTAGATGTATTTATTTTTTATTTGTTCCTCATGGTTTTTAAATTTCTGTAAATCAAACTTTAACAATAATGTTATCTAACATATAGTGTTTATTTGAATTTCCCCATTGTCTCAATGGTTCTTTGCTGATTCGTTTATTTATTTGATTATTTTGATCCAGGATTCAAACAATGATTCTGCATTTTAATTGGTTACCTGTCTTTTTAGTTTAATGTGAAATTACACTTTGTTCATTTCGCCTTTTTTTTGTTTTTCATGATATTGACATTTTTTCTTTTAATAATAGAGCCAAATTTTCTGATAGAATGTCCCACCATCTGAGTGTTTTTGAACGTTTATTCATGATTACACTAAGGTTAAACAACTTTGACAAGAATACTACACGTGATGTTGTGTACTTCCTATTATACTAGAATCACATAATGACCATTTGTGTCTTCTTAGAAGATGCCAAATTCAGCCTGTTGGTGAAGGTGATTTCTGTGAGAATTTCCATTGTAAAGTTTCATTTCATTGCACGTATTTATCAAGCCATTTGTGGGGTGTTGCTTTGAGGCTACATAACAATACTGTTTTTTTTTTTTTTTTACTTTTAGCCAATTATTTATCATGTGCTGATTACTTTTGTTGAGTTAATTATTACATTAATGTTTACACAACCAAATTTTTCACTCTAAAATGTTAATGTTTATGGGCAATGGAAATGGTTAGGGGAGTTTAAGAGTGGGATCAAAAGATATATGCATAGATGTTCATACACAGGTGCATAGCTTCCAGATTTCAAACAAAAATGGTGAACATTGATTAGAAAACTATTTTTAATATAAAACAAGAAAACAAATATATAATTTACTTTTTAAACTGGAATCAAATTGCTCAAGTTGGTGCGGGGTTAAGCCACAAATATTATTATAAGATTAATAAAGTATCAGTTAATAGAGTAATCAGAAATTTACGGTGAAGCAGTATATGTGACCTTGAATCTAATTTTTCTGTCTTCTAAATTTGGAATAATAATACATACTTCATAAGGCTTTAGAGAGGCAAATGATGCATAGGACTGCTTTGAGGATTAATTGAGATACTACATCTAAATTGCAGATTATATGTCCTGGCATGTAAAAATGATTTGTAAATCTTAGTTATTTTCACTACGTTATATTTTTCCTACACATCCCATTATTTATTGTTTCTTTTTTAAAAATGACTAGTATAAAACAAAGAAATAGAATAAAGTCTAGACTGCTTTCAAGTTTTTTCTCTCTACATACGCAATTTCAATTGATTGATTTTTACTTCTACTACTACTACTAAGTTTTGTGTTTTTTTGTTTGTTTGTTTGTTTTGGACACAGGGTCTCACTCTGACACCCTGTCACCCAGGCTAGCGTGCAATGGCATGATCACAGCTCACCACAGCCTCGATTTCCCAGAATCAGGTGGTCTTCCCACTTCAGCCCCCTGAGTAGCTGGGACTACAGGCACATGCCATCACACCTAGCTAACTTTTGTGTTTTTTGTAGAGACAGGGTTTTGCCATGTTTCCTCGGCTGGTCTCAAACTTCTGGGCTCAAGCAATCCTCCTGACTCAGCCTCCTAAAGTGCTGAGATTACAGGTATGAGGCACCACACTCGGCCTGCTTTCTACAGTATATTCTACTTCTTATTTTAACTTTTTGGTTATTGATTTAAAATGGACCCTATAAAATCTTTAAGAATGTGACTTTCATTGTTAAAAAACCTTCACTTAGAGAGGCTATGGCAATAGAACCATTATTCTACACATATAATACATCCTGTGATGTCATAACTGCATCAGTTATGAAGGGTAAGTTCCTACATAGAAGTCAGTAGATGAAGAAAGAAATGTATAATAGTAATCATTCCAGAAGCATGTATAGAAAAATTAAAACTACTAAAATGTTGCATTTGTTGATGAAAGGTGGTATTTCCTTCCAAAAATAGAAAAGTAATTTTTGTTGAATTCCTTAAATTTGTCTTGAAAAAGAAATTTGTGTATGAATGTGTGTGTGTGAGTGTGTGTGTATGTGTGTGTGTGTTTTGGAAGGAAGTTGTGAAACATCTTTATGCAGGACTCTTTCCAAATTTATACCAGCTTTGTAAACTTGAGTCATTCCTATCTAAAAAACTATAGCTGGGAGAAGTGTCGTTGCAGTGACTCAACCATAGTGTTTGCTTCTGTTTATATTTTCAGTTAAAATGGAAGAAATCATGGAAATAGTTTAGAAGCTTTAACAATCCCTCATTGACAAATAAAAAGGCTTGCTTTCAAAATAACCCATCCAGTATAATCTTTATACCACTTAGAGCTCAACTACAAAGATTGCTCATCAGGAAAGGATAAAGGGAATGTGGTGATCCTTCTTTGTAAATGATCTAGCTCTTGTTTTATTTGCCTATTACTTTGAACCATTTCTGTATCAAAGTCATGGCTAGTAATGAAAGAGCTTTAGGGGGATTTTTGACTGACATGTACCATTACTAATAAATTGCCTCAGAATGTAAAAATGTGACCCCTCAGGTGGTTCAACCACATTGTTTGCAAACTGTGACTAAGTATCAAATTCCAGCTTTTTTGCTAAGCACTCACCATGGAACAATACAGTTCCACTTTTTAATGCTTCATCGCTGATTGTGTAGGTCATAATTAGAGATGCAGCTGGGGATGAATGGAGAAGAATGTGCTGTGCAATTGGCTGTAACCAATCTGACCCTGCTTGATCCATGCTCCTTAAAAACCTGTGACCTCCTGTAGCCTCATGCATGATCCTTGTATGTGGTTAGCACAGCCTCCCTGCCAACCTTTCATCAATAGGCTTTTCAAACCACCACTTTGCTTTGTAGCCTTATCAAGGCATTCATTTTGAGCTGTCATAAATGGCATCTAGGAGTTCAAAGTTTGCCCAGCACAATAAGAAAAGTCACTATAGGTGTCTTAGGAAAGAAAGCAAGAAGTGTTGTAGAATTTGTAGAAATTACATATGTTAAAATAAGTGCACATTTGAATCAAGGAAGAACCACAAAAGAATGGAATAATGGAGAGAGATACAAGGTGTCTATTTTATAGAATCTACTTTATTACCAGGATTCAATTTTACAAGTTTTATTTAATCCATCAAGATACAGTTTACAGGTGGTCCATGACCTCTTCTTGAAAGAAAAAAGAAAGAAAACAAACCTGAATCTAAACTGTTGTTTAAACCCAGCTGTTTCATGTTGCCAGGAGAAAATAAAAAATGCCAAAAAATTTCTCAACATACGTAAGGAAAAGCCTAAAAATTTTTCAATAAAATGTTTACACAGATTTTGAAATGTAGATAGTTAATATATTTGAGGCCACTGCATTTTTTCAGTTATTTTTCTATAATACTAGAATATGAATATATATATATATAATTATACCCAAATGTCAATATTTTAAGAAACTGATGCAATTATATTAGTAGTCTATTATTTTTGAAATAGGTTTAATACAAAAGACTGGTTAGGCTGATATTTTGGAAACACCATAATGGAAGTAACAGGACATAGAATCAATAATTCATGGTAAGCAAAGGAAACCCAGCATTCTAGCATCCCTGAGAGATAAATCCCTGCTGACAATAAAATGTCTTATTATTCCTGTTCAAGTTTATGCTCCAATGACTGTGCTTTCTACTTTATCCCTTAATGTGGTTATTTGTTAAAACATAAATTAATAATCATAGCCATTTTGCAATATTATAAAAAATCCCAAGTGGACCGCTACCAATTTTTTTCCTAGTCCAGAAATCAAGTATTACAGGGTGGGAGAAGAATGCTATCTCTCTACCTCTCCATTGATGTTTCTAAGATACAGTTAGCTGGATTTTCTCTCCCTCTGTCTCATAAACATATACCCACACACAGATACACAAACACACAGACAATATAAACATCTGCTAATACACTGACCTACTGAAAGTTTATATTCCTCTATCTTAAACCTTCAGATTTGGAGTGGAATAAAAAGTTACAATCCCCCGACAACGACAACAAGAAAAACCTGAAGTAAGTTCTATCTAATAGTTGTCACTGTGTCAGTATAAAGCTAGTTAGTCTCTTAGGTGCAGATACCCTGGGAAAACGGTCAAATAGCTTTTAAGAGTCTAAGTGTACAGAAACACAAATACTTTGGAATGCTCTAGAGGTACAGGGTTAAATGCTCCCCCAAGCAATTTGACATTTCCGTGTTAATTCAGCTTGTAGAAACATATAATTAGAATCTCTAATACCTGCATTTTTCTTTTCTTTATGCGAAAAACATGTGGTGGTGCACGCAGCAATAAATACACTGGGAAAGGAACTCTTTGTGGGGTGGCTTGACATATTCTGCTGAAAGGCCACAACTACTACATTTCCAACAGAAAACAAAGAAAAATACACTCTATTCCTTTATTGGAAACTAGCACCTCTCCTTAAAACTAAAATAGGTGCTTTCATGTAACATAAGTAATTTTCTTCTTTACAGGTGTTGAACCAAGTAGTCTGGGGAGTGTGCAATCTGGGTTGGGAATTAAATCCAGGTTGCTTGCTTAATAGTAGAAAACATAGCCATGTAGGCATGAGGCTGACATTAAAAGAATGTCTTTTATCTTGAAAATTATAGAAGAAAATGACCCCCTGATGAAAAACTGCACTCAATTCTCAACAAATGAAAAATATATTGTGTATGTTTATAAATATAAAGGTAAATATATAAAATACATGTAAATTATTGTATAGAAAGTATAAAGGATTGTGTGAATTTGTGTTTTTCTTTAAGAGCAGACAGTTACATAACATAAGATGAAACAATGAGTTTACTTTTGTTGATTCTTATACAGGAACAAAACAATTAACAGTCTTGTATTTTCAACTCAATTTTGTCTTTCTCCATGGAAAAATTTTCTTTAAAATCAGTTATACTATAACCAATGCTACTCCCTACGTGATCCTTATGAATCATTTTTCCAAATAACAAAAATGAAAGCTATTAAGAAAAGATTAAGTAAAATTTACATTTATTTCAGTAAAATTCATATTTCTGTACTTTATACCTCACAATAGGAGAAACGTGGAAAGCAATGCATAAATATCTAATAAATAAAATTTGTACATAAGTTTTATAACTTCTTTCTAAATTAATTTGTTTCAACAATAACTGTTTCCAGAAATCATATGCCATAGCTTAGTTTTTCTTATCTAACTTATTTGGTCCAAGAAAGTCAGTGATTGAGAAAACACATTTGCTTGATTATTCTCATTTGGGAACTACTAAATCAAACACAAATTAGTTTTTTTTCTTTTAATACAAGAAGAATTTACACAATAGCTATTTTGTATCTATGGATGGTTAAATACGTTTCAGAGAAGTAAGTAAACTTCAGCTATGAATCACAAGTAAATACTAAGTTAAATGTAATAATGTAAAATTTCTTTCCCCCTCATGTCTTGATCTAAAAACATTAGGGCAGTTGTAAAATGCCAAGGAAGTAACACAAAAAGGGCTAATGTGAAAGATGCAATTGGGATTTGTATGTATAATGTGGCAGTATGACAGATTTTAGAGGAATACAGAAGCAAAATAGAACACTAGATAATTATATAACTATAATTTTTTTATTTTAAAAAATTGATTCATAATAGTTGTATATATTTATGGGGTACATGTGGTATTTTGATACAAGCATCCAAGGTATAATAATCAAATTAAGGTAATTAAAATATCCATCACCTCAAAGATGTATCATTTGTTTTTGTTGGGAACATTCCAATACTTCTAGATATTTTGAAATGTGCAATAAATTATTTTTAATGATAGTGTCCTATTGTGCTGTCAAACAATAGAACCTATCCTTCTAACTGTATTTTTTTTTACATTTGAATATATATATACATATATATATATTTTTATTATTATTATACTTTAAGTTTTAGGGTACATGTGCACAACGTGCAGTTTTGTTACATATGTATACATGTGCCATGTTGGTGTGCTGCACCCAATAACTTGTCATTTAGCATTAGGTATATCTCCTAATGCGATCCCTCCCCGCTCCCCCAACCCCACAACAGTCCCCGGTGTGTGATGTTCCCCTTCCTCTGTCCATGTATTCTCATTGTTCAATTCCCACCTATGAGTGAGAACATGTGGTGTTTGGTTTTTTGTCCTTGCGATAGTTTGCTGAGAATGATGGTTTCCAGCTTCATCCATGTCCCTACAAAGGACATGAACTCATCATTTTTTTATGGCTGCATAGTATTCCATGGTGTATATGTGCCACATTTTCTTAATCCACTCTATCATTGTTGGACATTTGGGTTGGTTCTAAGTCTTTGCTATTGTGAATAGTGCCACAATAAACATATGTGTGCATGTGTCTTTATAGCAGCATGATTTATAATCCTTTGGGTATATAGCCAGTAATGGGATGGCTGGGTCAGATGGTATTTCTAGTTCTAGATCCCTGAGGAATCGCCACACTGACTTCCACAATGGTTGAACTAGTTTACAGTCCCACCAACAGTGTAAAAGTGTTCCTATTTCTCCACATCCTCTCCAGCACCTGTTGTTTCCTGACTTTTTAATGATTGCCATTCTAACTGGTGTGAGATGATATCTCATTGTGGTTTTGATTTGCATTTCTCTGATGGCCAGTGATGGTGAGCATTTTTTCATGTGGTTTTTGGCTGCATAAATGTCTTCTTTTGAGAAGCGTCTGTTCATATCCTTCACCCACTTGTTGATGGGGTTGTTTGTTTTTTTCTTGTAAATTTGTTTGAGTTCATTGTAGATTCTGGATATTAGCCCTTTGTCAGATGAGTAGGTTGCAAAATTTTCTCCCATTCTGTAGGTTGCCTATTCACTCTGATGGTGGTTTTCTTTGCTGTGCAGAAGCTCTTTAGTTTAATTAGATCCCATTTGTCAATTTTGGCTTTTGTTGCCATTGCTTTTGTGCTTTAGACATGAAGTCCTTGCCCATGCTTATGTCCTGAATGGTAATGCCTAGGTTTTCTTCTAGGGTTTTTATGGTTTTAGGTCTAACATGTAAGTCTTTAATCCATCTCGAATTAATTTTTGTATAAGGTGTAAGGAAAGGATCCAGTTTCAGCTTTCTACATATGGCTAACCAGTTTTCCCAGCATCATTTATTAAATAGGGAATCCCTTCCCCATTGCTCGTTTTTGTCAGGTTTGTCAAAGATCAGATAGTTGTAGATATGTGGCATTATTTCTGAGGGCTCTATTCTGTTCCATTGGTCTACATCTCTGTTTTGGTACCAGTACCATGCTGTTTTGGTTACTGTAGCCTTGTAGTATAGTTTGAAGTCAGGTACGGTGATGCCTCCAGCTTTGTTCTTTTGGCTTAGGATTGACTTGGCAATGTGGGCTCTTTTTTGGTTCCATATGAACTTTAAAGTAGTTTTTTCCAATTCTGTGAAGAAAGTCATTGGTAACTTGATGTGGATGGCATTGAATCTATAAATTACCTTGGGCAGTATGACCATTTTCACGATATTGATTCTTCCTACCCATGAGCATGGAATGTTCTTCCATTTGTTTGTATCCTCTTTTATTTCATTGAGCAGTGGTTTGTAGTTCTCCTTGAAGAGGTCCTTCATATCCCTTGTAAGTTGTATTCCTAGGCATTGTATTCTCTTTGAAGCAATTGTGAATGGGAGTTCACTCATGATTTGGCTCTCTGTTATTGGTGTATAAAAATGCTTGTGATTTTTGCACATTGATTTTGTATCCTGAGACTTTGCTGAAGTTGCTTATCAGCTTAAGGAGATTTTGGGCTGAGATGATGGGGTTTTCCAGATATACAATCATGTCATCTGCAAACAGGGACAATTTGAATTCCTCTTTTCCTAATTGAATACCCTTTATTTCCTTCTCCTGCCTGATTGCCCTGGCCAGAACTTCCAACACTATGTTGAATGGGAGTGGTGAGAGAGGGCATCCCTGTCTTGTGCCAGTTTTCCAAGGGAATGCTTCCAGTTTTTGTCCATTCAGTATGATATTGGCTGTGGTTTTGTCATAGATAACTCTTATTATTTTGAGATACGTCCCATCAATACCTATTTATTGAGAGTTTTTATCACGAAGTATTGTTGAATTTTGTCAAAGGCCTTTTCTGCATCTATTGAGATAATCATGTGGTTTTTGTCTTTGGTTCTGTTTATATGCTGGATTATGTTTATTGATTTTCATATGTTGAACCAGCCTTGCATCCCAGGGATGAAGCCCACTTGATCATGGTGGATAAGCTTTTTGATGTGCTGCTGGATTCAGTTTGCCAGTATTTTATTGAGGATTTTTGCATCAATGTTCATCAAGGATATTGGTCTAAAATTCTCTTTTTTTTTGTTGTGTCTCTGCCAGGCTTTGGTATCAGGATGATGTTGGCCTCATAAAATGAGTTAGGGAGGATTCCCTCTTTTTCTGTTGATTGGAATAGTTTCAGAAGGAATGCTACCAGCTCCTCTTTGTACCTCTGGTAGAATTCGGCTGTGAATCCATCTTGTCCTGGACTTTTTTTGGTTGGTAAACTATTAATTATTGCCTCAATTTCAGAGCCTGTTATTGGTCTATTCAGAGATTCAGCTTCTTCCTGGTTTAGTCTTGGGAGGGTGTATGTGTCAAGGAATTTATCCATTTCTTCTAGATTTTCTAGTTTATTTGCCTAGAGGTGTTTATAGTATTCTCTGATGGTAGTTTGTATTTCTGTGGGATCGGTGGTGATATCCCCTTTGTCATTTTTTATTGCATCTATTTGATACTTCTCTCTTTTCTTCTTTATTAGTCTTGCTAGTGGTCTATCAATTTTGTTGATCTTTTCAAAAAACCAGCTCCTGGATTCATTGATTTTTTGAAGGTTTTTTTGTGTCTCTATTTCCTTCAGTTTTGCTCTGATCTTAGTTATTTCTCGCCTTCTGCTAGCTTTTGAATGTGTTTCCTTTTGCTTCTCTAGTTCTTTTAATTGTGTTGTTAGGGTGTGAATTTTAGATCTTTCCTGCTTTCTCTTGTGGCCATTTAGTGCTATAAATTTCCCTCTACATACTGCTTTGAATGTGTCCCAGAGATTCTGGTATGTTGTGTCTTTGTTCTCATTGGTTTCAAAGAACATCTTTATTTCTGCCTTCATTTTGTTATGTACCCAGTAGTCATTCAGGAGCATGTTGTTGTTCAGTTTCCATGTAGTTGAGTGGTTTTGAGTGAGTTTCTTAATCCTGAGTTCTAGTTTGATTGCACTGTGGTCTGAGAGACAGTTTGCTATAATTTCTGTTCTTTTACATTTGCTGAGGAGTGCTTTACTTCCAACTATGTGGTCATTTTTGGAATAGGTGTGGTGTGGTGCTGCAAAGAATGCATATTCTGTTGATTTGGGGTGGAGAGTTCTGTAGATGTCTATTACGTCTACTTGGTGCAGAGCTGAGTTCAATTCCTGGATATCCTTGTTAACTTTCTGTCTCGTTGATCTGTCTAATGTTGACAGTGAGGTGTTAAAGTCTCCCATTATTGTTGTGTGGGAGTCTAAGTCTCTTTGTAGGTCACTAAGGACTTGCTTTATGAATCTGGGTGTTAATGTATTGGGTGCATATATATTTAGGATAGTTAGTTCTTCTTGTTGAATTGATCCCTTGACCATTATGTAATGGCCTTCTTTGTCTCTTTTGATCTTTGTTGGTTTAAAGTCTGTTTTATCAGAGACTAGGATTGTAAACCCTGCCTTTTTTTGTTTTCCATTTCCTTGGTAGATCTTCCTCCATCCCTTTTTTTTGAGCCTATGTGTGTCTCTGCACCTGAGATGGGTTTCCTGAGTACAGCACACTGATGGGTCTTGACCCTTTATCCAATTTGCCACTATGTGCCTTTTAATTGGAGCATTTAGCCCATTTACATTTAAGGTTAGTATTGTTATGTGTGAATTTGATCCTGTCATTATGTTTTTAGCTGGTTATTTTGCTCGTTAGTTGATACAGTTTCTTCCTAGCCTTGATGGTCTTTACAATTTGGCATGTTTTTGCAGTGGCTGGTACCAGTTGTTCCTTTCCATGTTTAGTGCTTCCTTCAGGAGCTCTTTTAGGGCAGGCCTGGTGGTGACAAAATCTCTCAGCATTTGCTTGTCTGTAAAGTATTTTATTTCTCCTTCACTTATGAAGCTTAGTTTGGCTGGATATGAAATTCTGGGTTGAAAATTCTTTCCTTTAAGAATGTTGAATATTGGCCCCCACTCTCTTCTGGCTTGTAGAGTTTCTGCCAAGAGATCAGCTGTTAGTCTGATGGGCTTCCCTTTTTGGGTAACCCGACCTTTCTCTCTGGCTGCCCTTAACATTTTTTCCTTCATTTCAACTTTGGTGAATCTGACAATTATGTGTCTTGGAGTTGCTCTTCTCGAGGAGTATCTCTGTGGCATTCTCTGTGTTTCCTGAATTTGAATTTTGGCCTGCCTTGCTAGATTGGGGAAGTTCTCCTGGATAATATCCTGCAGAGTGTTTTCCAACTGGGTTCCATTCTCCCCGTCACTTTCAGGTACACCAATTAGACGTAGATTTGGTCTTTTCACATAGTCCCATATTTCTTGGAGGCTTTGTTCGTTTCTTTTTATTCTTTTTTTTCTAAACTTCTCTTCACGCTTCATTTCATTCATTTTGTCTTCCATCGCTGATACCCTTTCTTCCAGTTGATTGCATTGGTTACTGAGGCTTGTGCATTCATTACGTAGTTCTCGTCCTGTGGTTTTCAGCTCCATCAGGTCCTTGAAGGACTTCTCTGCACTGTTTATTCCAGTTATCCATTCGTCTAATTTTTTTTCAAAGTTTTTAACTTCTTTGCCATTATTTGGAACTTCCTCCTTTAGCTTGGAGTAGTTTGATCTTCTGAAGCCTTCTTCTCTCAACTCTTCAAAGTCGTTCTCCGTCCAGCTTTGTTCTGTTGCTGGTGAGGAGCTGTGTTCCGTTGGAGGAGGAGAGGCGCTCTGATTTTTAGAGTTTCCGGTTTTTCTGCTTTGTTTTTTCCCCATCTTTGTGGTTTTATCTACCTTTGGTCTTTGATGATGGTGACCTACAGATGGGTTTTTGGTGTGGATGTCCTTTCTGTTTGTTAGTTTTCCTTCTAACAGTCAGGACCCTCAGCTGCAGGTCTATTGGAGTTTACTGGAGGTCCACTCCAGACCCTGTTTGCCTGGGTATCAGCAGTGGTGGCTGCAGAACAGCAGATATTGGTGAACCGCAAATGTTGCTGCCTGATCGTTCCTCTGGAAGTTTTGTCTCAGAGGAGTACCCGGCTGTGTGAGGTGTCAGTCCGCCCCTACTGGGGGTGCCTCCCAGTTAGGCTGCTCGGGGGTCAGGGACCCACTTGAGGAGGCAGTCTGCCCGTTCTCAGATCTCAAGCTGCGTGCTGGGAGAACCACTACTCTCTTCAAAGCTGTCAGACA
Organism: Homo sapiens; assembly: GCF_000001405.40. Lineage (NCBI taxonomy): Eukaryota > Metazoa > Chordata > Mammalia > Primates > Hominidae > Homo > Homo sapiens. Next base: position 84,403,522 of record NC_000007.14, on the reverse strand, counting down.
GGGACATTTAAGTCTGCAGAGGTTATTGCTATCTTTTGTTCGTCTGTGCCCTGCCCCCAGAGGTGGAGCCTACAGAGGCAGCAGGCCTCCTTGAGCTGTGGTGGGCTCCACCCAGTTCAAGCTTCCCAGCCGCTTTGTTTACCTACTCAAGCCTGGGCAATGGCAGGTGCCCCTCCCCCAGCCTCGCTGCCACCTTGCAGTTTGATCTCAGACTGCTGTGCTAGCAATGAGCGAGGCTTCGTGGGTGTAGGACCCTCTGAGCCATGTGTGGGATATAATCTCCTGGTGTGCCGTTTGTTAAGCCCGTTGGAAAAGCGCAGTATTAGGGTGGGAGTGACCTGATTTTCCAGGTGCCATCTGTCACCCCTTTCTTTGACTAGGAAAGGGAATTCCCTGATCCCTCATGCTTCCCGGGTGAGGCGATGCCTCATCCTGCTTTGGCTCATGCACCATGCACTGCACCCACTGTCCTGCACCCACTCTCCGGCACTCCCCAGTGAGATGAACCCATTACCTCAGTTGGAAATGCAGAAATCATCTGTCTTCTGCGTTGCTCACACTCCTAACTGTATTTTTGTAAACCAACCTGTCTTCAACTCTCTACCCCACTACCCTTCCTGGCCTCACCAACATTCTAGTCACTATCTCCATAAAGTCAATTGTTTTAGCCCCCAGACATGAATGAGAACGTGTGATATTTGTCTTTCTATACCTTGTCTATTTCACTTAACATAATGCCCTCTACTTTGTTGTATGTTACTGAAAGTAATAGAATATTATTCTTTTTGTGGCTGGATAATATTCCATCATGTATATACACCACATTATCTTTATTTATTCATCCATTAATAATAATATTCTTTTTATGGCTGAAAATATTCCATCATGTACATACACCACATTATCTTCATACATCCATTGATGGACACTTAGGTCGATTCCGTATCTTGGTTATAAATAGTGCTGCAATAAACATGGGAGTGAAGATATCTCTTTGATATACTGATTTCCTTTCTTTGGGATACATACCCAGCTGGGGGATTCATGAATTATATGGTAGTTCTAATTATAGTTTTTTGAGGAATGTCCATATTATTTTCCATAATGGCTGTACTAATTTATATTCTCACCAACAGTGTACAAGTGTTCCCCACTTTCTCCACACTGTTGCCAGCAGTTGTTATGTTTTGTATTTTTGTTAATAGCATTCTAACTAGGATGAGATGATATTTGATTTGCATTTTCCTGATAATTAGGTATGAATGATGTTGAGCATTTTTCCATATACCCAGCCGTGGTGTCGATTTTAAGAAATGTCTATCCAGGCCTTTTTTATTTTTAAATTAGATTTTGTTTTGTTTTGTTTTGTTTGTTTGCTACCCAATGGTTTGACTTCCTTATATTTTCTAGCAATTAACTCTTTGTTGGGTGGATAGTTTACAAATGTTTTCTCCCAAGAAGTTGTCTCTTCACTTTCTTCATTGTTTCCTTTGCTGTGTAGAAGCTTTTAGTTTGATGTAATCCCATTTGTCAATTTTTGCTTTGATTGTATGTGATTGTGAGGTGCTCAAACAATCTTTGCCCAGAACAGCATCCTGAAGCATTTCTCTGTTTTCTTCTAATAGTTTCATAGTTTCAGGTCTTTGGTTTGTCTTTAACCCAGAGTTGATTTTTTATATGATGACAGATAAAGGGGTCTAGTTTCATTTGTCTGCATATGGATATCCAGTATTATTAGCACCATTGATTACAGACACTCTCCATTATCCAACATATGTTCTTGGTGCATTTCTGAAAAATCATTTGGCTTTAAATGTGTGTAGTTATTTCTTGGTCCCCCATTCTGTTCCATTGGTCTATGTGTCTGCTTTTATGCTGGTACCATGCTGTTTTCATTACTATAGCTTTGCAGTATATTCTGAAGTCAGGTGAAGTGATGCCCCCAGCTTTATTCTCTTTGCCAAGAATTGCTGTGGCTATGTCAGGATCTTCTGTAGTTCCATGCAAATTTTAGTGTTTTTTTTTTTTTTTCTATTTCTGTGAACAAGATCATTGGTATTTTGGTAGAGATTTCATTGAATCTATAGACTGCATTCGGTATCATCAACATTTTAACACAATTCTTTCAATCCATGAAAATGGAATATTTTTCCATTGTTTGTGTCATCTTCAATTTCTTTCGTTAGCATTTTATCATTTTCACTGTAGAGATCTCTCACTTTTTGGTTAAATTTATTCCCAGGTATTTTTTGTAGCTATTTTAAATGGAATTGTTTTCTTGATTTCTTTTTCAAATTGTTCACTATTGGCATATAGAAATGCTGCTGGTTTTTGTATTTTGATTTTGTAACACGCAATCTTACTGAATTTATCAGCCATAACAGTCTTTTTGCAGAAATCTTAGGTTTCTATAAGTATAAGATAATGTCATCTGCAAGGACAATTTGACTTCTTCCTTCCTAATTTCTAATGCCCTTTATTTCTTTCTCTTGTCCAATTGCTCTTGCTAGGACTTCTAGTACTATATTTAATAAAAGTGGTGAAAGTAGGAAACCTTTTCTTGTTCCAGTTCTTACAGGAAAAGCTTTCAGTTTTTCCCAATTCAGTGTGATGCTAGCCATGGGTTTTTCACATATGACCTATATTGATTTGAGGTATTTCTTCTAAACCCAGTTTGTTGAGAGCTTTGGTCATGAAAGGATGTTGAATGTTATTGAATGCTTTTGTGGCATTTATTAAAATGATCACATGACTTCAAAGAATATGTCTTCATCTAGGTTTGGAAAGATCTCAGTTGTCATTTCTTTGAATAAACTTTCTACCCCTATTTCTACCTTTACTTCTTCTTTAAGGCCGATAAATCTTAGATTTGCCCCTTTGAGGCTATTTTCTAGATCTTGGAAACATTCTTCACTCTTTCATCTTTTTTCTCCTCTATGTAACTTTCAAGTATCCTGACTTTGAGCTCACTGATTCTTTCCTCCGTTTGATCAGTTCTGCTGTTGAGACACTCTAATGCATTTTTCAGTTTTGTTCATTATTTTGTGGCTCCAAAATTTGTTTGATTTTTAAAATTATTTTAATTTCTTTGTTAAATTTATCTCATAAATTTATGGATTCCTTCCATCTGTTTTCTTGAAATTCATTGAGCTTCCTCAAAACAGCTATTTTATATTCTCTGGGTAAGGGATCACATGTCTCTGTCCTTCAGGGTTAGTCACTGGTGCCTTATTTATTCCATTTGGTATGATCATATCTTCCTGGACGTCCTTGATGCTTGTGGACATTCATTGATGTCTGGGCATTGAAGACTATTTATTCTAGTCTTCACAGTCTGGTCTTGTTTGTAACTGTCCCTCTTCAGAGGCCTTCCAAGAATTCAGAGGGGACTGAGTTTTGAGTTCCGTTAGCCTGTGGTCACTGCAGCCATTTTCACACTACATGGCACACTAAGCCCAATATGCTGCAACTCTTGCAGACTCCTAAATGCCCAGCCCTGATGGGCATAAGGAAGATGAGGGAGATTTCCCTAGGTTCCCAGGGAAAGTCCCTTGCTCTCTTCCTTCTCTTTATTCTAGTAGAAAGAGCCTCTCTCTATGCTAAGATGCCTGGAGTTGGGGGAGGGGTGATGTTAGCAATTCCATGGCTGCTGCAGCTGTCATTACACCAGCTTGTACGTGAAGCCCAGAGTCTCCCAGACCAGCACATTACTGTAGCTTGCCAAAGGCCCATGGCTGCTATTGTGTGACTGCCACCAATGTTTATTCAAGGCCAGAGGCCATTTTAACCAGCACCTAGTGGTGAGTCCTGCTAAACTTGGTCCATCCTACCAGGGAAGTAGATTTCTTTCTGGCTCACAATGGGTCTAGAAGCAATGACCTAGTAATAATGACCTGGAACTAGGGGCTTTGGGATTCTCCCTGGTGCTTTATTTTAACGTGGTTGGGCTGATATTCAGTTGGAGGACAAAGTCCTCTGTATTCTTCACTCTTTCATCCAAATTGAAGGAGTCTCTGTCTACAGTGCACTGTCTGGCATTGGGGGAGGGGTGGCATAGGCTCTCCCATGGCCACTGCAGCTAGTGTCATGCTGGGTTGTACCCTGAGCCCACAGCCTCTGAGAGCAGTGTGGCACCAGGGCTCATTCAAGGACTGCAGTCAGGATGGTCTAGTTGTCACTGAAATTTATTCAAGGCTCAAGGTCACTTTAGTCAGCCAGTGGTAAAGAAGGTTGGGACTCACATTCCTTCTGCCAGGACAATGGATTCCCCTCAGGTCCAGGGCTATTCTAAATGCTCCCTCTGTGGGCACTGGCAGAATTTTTTCCTGTGTTGTGTTGCATAGTGACAGGGTGGCACTGAGTTCCAATGCATAATCCCACACTCACCGTGCTTTTCCTCCCCAAGCACACAGATTCTCTTTTCAGACTGTGCTCCTTGGGGTTGGAGGAGGTGTGGTATAGGCTGTTCAAGACTGTTCTTCCAATCCTATTCAATGCATATTTTCTTGTCATTATGCTAAGACCAGGTACTCTGTTCTCTCAAATGATGTTTTATTTCTTACAAAGGTGCTTTCTTTTTGCATGCACTGTTGTTCAAGTTGATGTTTCTGCAAGGGGGGTACAATTGCTGGAGGGTTCTACTAGGCCATCTTGTTCTGTAGCCTCAATATAACTGTGATTTTAATTTTAATTTAGTTATTTTATTTTATTTTTTTAAGAAACAGTCTCACTCTGTTGCCCAGGCTGGAGTTCAGTGGCACAATCATACCTCTTTGCAGCCTTAAACTCCTGGGCTCTAGTGATCCTCCTTCCTCAGCCTCCTGAGTAGCTAAGACTACAGGCACATGCCACCAGGTTTGGCTAATTAAAACAAAAAAAATTATATAGAGACAGAGTTTTGCTATGCTGCAAAAAAAAGAAAAAAAATTGTAGAGACAGAGTCTTGCTATACTGCCCAGACTAGTGTCAAATTCCTGGTCTCAAGCAGTCCTTCTGCCTCAGCTTCCCAAATACTAGGATTACTAGACCTTAAGTTTGATTTTTAACGGCTTCAGTCAGGAACTGCGAAAGGAGGGTGATGTGTTTGAAGTGTGCAATACCTCTGAATCAGGAAAAACACTATTCTAAGACACAAATTGTCATGAATGTCACGTGCTACAATAATATTAATCAGGACAAAAACTAAGAAAAAGCACCAGACATTTATGTTAAATTAAATGGTATAAAGCTCCTCATATAGGTTCTGAGAAATTGCATACACACAATAAATTGTAGCTACTATTAGTTTCAATAATGAGAGGTGGAATGAAAATTAGTTCTGGTGTCTTAAAAGACCTGTTGGATAGGAGAATGAGGAAGCAGTTAGAATATTTATATTTGAAAGTTGAGGAAATTGCATTGAAAAAGGCATGTCAATCAAAATGTGTTTTGGTTGTTTGGTTAATTTGCTTATCTTCACTCTTTAAAATCAGACTTCTCTGGTCATTAGAAAAAGCAAATCAAATAAGAAATAAATCATCTAGCACAATGCATGGCATACAGGTGCAAAGAGGAAGTAATATTTTGGTTTACTATGTGTCATGCCCATTTTTATACACTTTGCATGATTTATCTTATTTAATTATCATAAAACCCCATGGCCTATTTGTCACTCTCCCAGAAATGGCATATCATTCTAATATGTCAAAACATATAAGGAAACTAAAGTCCATATAGGTAGACTAAACTTTTCAAAACTACTTACCTAGAAGGTTTTGTCTGACTCCTCTTCATGGTGCCACATTAAGTGTTCAAAGTTACCTGTCCCTATGTATCTGTAAAAAGGGAAGAAATTCGTGGAGATTACGTTGGCAAAATTCACAACGTATTTTCACAGAAATGCTAGGAATTGTAAAAACTCCCACAATACAAGTTTACCTAGGTTAACAAACCTGCACTTGTACTTCTGAGCTTAAAAGTTAAAAAAATTATACTATGCACACTATGTGTATATATGTTATATGTAATATATGTAATATATATAACATGTATTGTATACATGTTATATATAATACATATTATGTATACGTTATATATGTAAAATATATATTATATATTTTATATATATAATGCTTATTACATATATATTTTGGTTTTTGTTTTGCTTTGTTTTGGCAATGCATAGATTTGAGAAACATTAAATGTTCACAATTATCCACCAAAAGATAATTTTAAGTAAAATAAATTTTTAGTAAATGTTTATTGAGCAGTTGACAGCTACTTTTCACATACTTTTCTCTAGAGATCACAATTTTAATCAGAACCAGACAATTAAAGTCATAGACATGATAAAGTAGATTATTATTTGATATCATAAGCATACACAATAGCCTTAGGTTTTTGAAATTCCGAATTTTCAACATTGTGATTTTGTATGCCTTTCACAACTTTCATTATAAACATGGAAATGTAAATCAAGATTTTATTTTTGTGCTTTCTTTGCCATAAATTGTCATGTTGCCATTTATGTTCTGATTGGTACAGAACAAAAATAAACACATACCTTTGTTAGCTTACATTGGATATTGATACAAAGACATCATCAGAATTATGTGTAACATATGCCAATTGTTTATTATCTACCATTTTTCTTGCTAAGAATTTATCCATATTATAAACCTAATGAAGTAAATACTGCCTTGATAAGGAAACTGAGGATGAGAGTATGGGTCCTAGGTGATTTTTTTGAGATAAGAAAGTAAAATAAATATTATACAGTTAGAAAAAAACATTATTTTTCTTATCTACTTATATGTTAAAGCTTCAAGCAGAAATTGTTTTCCAACTACAGCTATTACTATCTTTGGAGGTTTGTTCAATGGGTCAGTTGGAAGTCAGTTTCTTTACATTTTTGTTCTTTTGCCTGAAAACAAATATTTTCTTTCAACTTGGTTATTGAAAGATAGTAGTTCTTACATGAAATTATAAATTTATAAGGTATTTTCTTTCAATATATTGAACTTATTATTACAGTGCCTTCTATCTTCCGTTGTTGCTGCTGAGATACCAGCCTATTGTCATTTCATTACAAAAGATCTATCTTTTCTTGCCACTTCTAAAACATTCTCTTTGTCACTGAGGCTTTATTACCTTTTTACATTACTATACGACTATAGTTACTATTATAGTACTATTATTATATTGCATATTATAATATAATATATTTTGTTCAGAATTTATTTGTATTGACCCTGTTGCTGATTTCTTGATCTTTTTCCAGGATAAAATGTTGACTGTTTTACATTTATTCTGTATATTATATTCACAATTTCATAATTCATAATTATATCTCAAAATTCATAAGTATATTTAGTTTTCAATTATTGCCTTTCACCTATTCCTGCTAGTCTTTCTTTTTAAAATTTTAATTACACTTAATTCAGCCTTCCTTAATTCACTTTCTATGTCTTATAACCAGTATTTGATATTTTTAACTATTTGTGAATTATCTCCTGAATATTTTCTTTAGTGTGTCTTCCAGTTCTTGATTCTGCTTTAATGCAATGAATTGTTTCCTTCAGGTACTAATTCCGTTCCTAAAACTTCCACTAGATTTCTTTCTAAATCTGTACATACATTTTTTACCTTTCTTGATCCTTGTATTAGTCTGTTCTCATGCTGCTATGAAGAAATATCAAGACTGGGTAACATATAAAGAAAAGAGGTTTAATTGACTCACAGTACTGCATGGCTGAGAAGGCCTCAGGAAACTTACAATCATGGCAGAAGGTGAAAGGGAAGAAAGGCACCTTCTTCAAAGGGCAGCAGGAAGAAGTGCCGAGCAAACAGGGAAAAAGGCCCTCTATAAAACCATCAGAACTCATTAGAACTCACACACTATCTTGAGAAGAGCATGGGGGAAACCACCCCCATGATTCAATTATCTCCCCCCATGATTCAATTATCTCCACCTGGTCCCCCCCTTGACATGTGGGGATTATTTCAATTCAAGGTGAGATTTGGGTGGGGACACAGAACCAAACCATATCAATCCTCATTCAAATGTTTAAACCTTCCTGAAATATAAACAACATGTTTATTTAAATTATTTTCTAAGATAGTTAATATATGATGTTTCTGAAAGTATACTTCTGCTAGTTTTCACTCATGGTACTTTTTTTTTTTTCCTATGGGTTTCTTGATTTGTATCTATGCATAAGAATTCTGAATTGCAGTTAACAGTTTTTAGTGTAGATTTTGCATTTAGTTATTTGGTTAGTTTAGTTAGTTGCCTGGGGGCTCCCACCAAATGAGTTCTATAAAGCTGAGGATCAAGTCTATGTGAAAACTATGTTACGGTAATAAATTCTCAAAGGATAATTTTTTCCTCCTCATACAATACTAGTGACATAAGAAATTTTATTTACCATTCCTTCTGCTGTGGGTTTATTTTAGGTGTAATCTTTTGGAAACTCAGCTTTATAGACCAATCTCCTATCTTATCCCTTACTTTAAGCATGTCCAAGGCTTTATCTTATGTCTTCTATACTCCGAATAGCCATCACAATGGAAACTTAAGATCCCATGGGCTTGGTGCCTTAACAAAGGGTAAAAGTTAACTTTTGAGTACACCTCATTCCTAGATTGCACTTTCACTGTTTCTAACCTTTGTGAATGCTTTAATTTATTTCCACTTCAGAAAGGCATTTAAAAATATATTTGTTACATTTTATGTAGCTCTTTTATTAGTATTTCATCAGAAGATCCATTTCAGTTTTTTCTACTAATTGCTGGCAATGAAAATTCTATTCGTATCATTTTCAAAACTTCAATAACATATGCTTTCTTATGTTCTTGTATATGAATATTGCTTTTCATCTATTAAATCTGTAGGTTTTAGTTTTAAAACATTTATTTGTTGTTCCAATCAGCCATCAACTATGACTCTCATACTGATACTGGGCCCTTTGCTAGAACTGTTGCAGAAGGCAACTTAATGTTTAGATATATGAAATGAGCCTCCATCTTCTATAGACAGCTGGGATTCTAGAAATTGTACTTTACAAATCACATCCCAGTTTTACCTGAGCTATTCTTTAAAGACTAGCAAACAATGCACAGAATGCTATGACTCATTGATTCTACATAAAAATCTCTCCCAACATGACAGTCTGCAAGTTCTTAGTTTCTAAATCATATGGTGTGCACTGAGGTAAAGTTTATTAATTAATGGTCAATCAACACATAGAAGTTAAAAATACTTTAAACTGCAAGTAACAAATTTTCACTATAATGTTATTTATTGTTTATCTTAAAAGGCAGCAAAAGGATGATTGTTTTATGGATAATCCAGCAATTAAAACTACAACATACCTATTTTATTTCTAATTCTTTATCTGCTATTTTTCCTAATCCTTCTTGCATATTGTGATAAATAGTTTCCATAGCTGTAGAAATCACATTTTTAAGGCAGAAATCCAAGAGAAAAAGTGACACCAGCCAGCTCTTTTCTTGTGCTTATTTCTTCTCAGCAAATTATATTTGAACAAGTCCTCAGCAAAATTCTTCTTTGATTACTTTGGCCAGAATTGGGCAACATGACAATTTCTAGCTTCAAGAGAGACTACAAAATGAGCTGTTCTGTAAATTGTCTTGGGGCAAGAAAGTTAGGAATGAATTGTGGAAAACTAACTAATGGTACCTACAGTAGTTCCACCATTGGTTCTTCAACAACCTTACTCATTTTTCATGGAAGATACACACCTCTTTACCAAGGGGGACCACCCCAAGGGCTCATCTGTTTATCAAATATGGCACCCTTTCTAAGATTATCTAAATAGCATGTATTACTCTCTGATAAAACAGGCATGACAACTCATGTTTTAGAGATTTATGGTTAAAACAGAAGACATTTGCCTTGAACAGCACAACTAATACAATCATGGAGAAGAAACACCATAACTTAATTTGTAATTTTAAAAGTGAATGATTGATCATAGATGCATGGGTTCATTTCTGTGCTCTGTATTCTGTTCCATTACCCAATGTGTCTACTTTTATGCTAGTACCATGCTATTGTAATTACTATTGCTTTTCACTATAGTTTGAAATCAGGTAGTGTGATGCCTCCGGCTTTGTTCTTTTTGCTCATGATTGCTTTGGCTATTACAGATTTTTGGGATTCCACACATTTATAGTCAATTGATTTTCAACAAAGTTCCCAAGAATAAACAATGGAAAAAAGACTCTTCAATAAATGGTATTGGGCAAACTGGATATCCTTATGCAAAGGAATGAAATTGGACCCTTATCTCACACCATATACACAAATCCACTCAAAATTGATTAAATACTTAAACATAAAACATGAAACTTAAAAATGTCTAGAAGAAAACATAGGGGCAAAAACTATACAATAATGCTCTGAGCAATGAGTTTTTAGATTTGACCCCCAAAGCATAGGCAACAAAAGCAAAAATAGACAAATGCGATTATATCCAAATAAAATGATTCTGCATAGCAAAGGAAACAACTAACAATGTTGAAGAGACAACCTAAGGATTGGTAGAAAATATTGGCAAGTCATACATCTGATAAGGAATTAGTATCCAAAATATATAAGGAGCTCAAACAACTCTATAGACTGAAAACAAATAATCTGATTAAGAAATGAATAAAGGACCTACATAGACATTTCTCAAAAGAAGACATGCAAATGGCTAACAGATTCAAGAAAAGTTGTTTGACATACCTAATCATTAAGAAGATGCAAATTGAAACCACAAAGATTTAACACCTCACATCTGTTAAAATGGTTATTATTAAAAAGATGAATGTTAATAAGTGTCAGCAGGATGTGGATGCTGTTGATGAGAAAGTAAATTAGGAAAAGCATTATGGAAAATTGTATGAAGGTTGCCAAAAAGCACTAAAAATTCAATTACCGGCAATGCCACTTCTGCGTTTTCACCCAAAAGATGTAAAATCAGTATGTCTAATAGATGTTTGCACATCCATGTTTATTGCAGCACTATTCACAATAGCCAAGGTATGGAATCAATCTAGATGACCATCACTAGGTGAAGAGATAAAGAAAATGTGGTATATATCCCCAATGGAATACTATTCAGCCTAAAACAAGGAAGATACCTTATCATTTGCAACAACATGAATAGAATTGCAGAACATTATACTAAGTGAAATAAGCCAAACAAGAAGACAAATATCACAAGTTTCTCACTTATATGTGGAATCCAAATAATTAAATTCATGAAAGGAGAGATTGGTGGGGTGGAAATAATAGGGAGATGATAATCAAAGGTGTAAAACATCAATTAGAATAAATTTGTTTGTTTTAGGTCTATTACACAGCATGACGAATACCTCTAATAACTTAATATTGTACATTTCAATATCACTAAAAGAGTAAATTTCAAATGTTCTCATCGCAAAAACATCAAATATTTGGGGTGATGGAAAGGTTAGCTTGATTTAATAATGCCACATTGTATTCAAAAATTATAAGATTACTTTATACTCGATAAATATATAAAACTAAAATTTTTCAATAGATTTTTTTTTTTTTGAGACAGGGTCTCACTCTGTTTCTCAGGCTGGAGTATATTGGCACTATCATGGCTACCTCCCAGGCTCAGGTGATCCTCCCACCTCAGCCTCCCAAGTAGCTGGGACTACAGGCATACACCATCACACCCAGCTAACGTTTGTATTTTTTTGTAGAGAAGGCAGTTTTGCCATGTTGCTCAAGCTGGTCTTGAACTCCTGGACTCAGCAATCTTCCCACCTTGACCTCCCAAAGTGCTAAGATCACAGGTGTGAGCCACCATGCCTGGCCTGTCAATGGATAATTTTTTAAAATGTTTTTCAAGTGAATCATTGCAAACACACAATAAATGCTATTAAGAGCACATATCTTACCCTGCTAGATAATAACAGCAGAAAATCCTGTCCTGGAAGTGAAGTACATTTCCAGAGTAGGCAATCTGTCTGTTCCTGCTGTTCCAAAATATTTACTTCTATCACTGAGGGAGGTATTTTTCTATCTATTTTCCTTCCCATCCACATCTAAACTGGTTACTGGGGAAGAGACTTCTTCCATAGGATCCACCGTGTTAGCATCCCTCTTCACATTGATGCAAGCATGGAGGCTCAGGGATTTCCACATATGTTTCCTAGCCAGATTTAGCATTTTGTTGCTAGTGTATTTCCCTCAGATTTTACTAGGTTCTTGTCTATTTGCCTTTAATCAATTTTGTACTCTTGTATCTATAGCCAACATCAATTGCTGACACATATTTAAGCTAGGATATGTAGGCATGGCTTATAATTGAGTCTTTGCTAGAAGGTTTGTCCTATGAAAGGTGCTGAGGAGTTCACGTCACTTGAATCCTCCTAATAAGGCTGATGTTTCCATGCCAGCATTTATACAAGCTTCAACTTCGCAAACAAACAGTTGACTTTTCTAACCCTGCCAAGCTCTAAGTTTTGAAGGTGGACCCTTAGTAACCCTGGATTGCAAGCTACAGGCAGAGAGGGCCTGTGTTAACAAAACCATATGTACTTTTCTCTTTGCTTTCAAACTGACCATTTCGGGTCTAACTTTATGATTCTCTTTTAACTATTGACCCTGAAAGCCTCAAAAAGTAACCAAACACAGGCCACCATTCTGATTTTTAACTCCTCATTCACCAGCAGTTCAGCCTCTATTTTTAGCACATTATCTATATCCCAAAATGATTCAGTTAACAGTTCGAGAAAATATTTCACTAAATCTTAATAAGAGTCTCTGGAAGGCAAGAATAGTTGGTTTCTTGCTTCTTTTTATCCTGTTATCAGCACTACTACATTTAGAGGTATGTGTATCAATCCAATTCAGTTGTTCAGTTCACAGTACTTATTGTCACTTATTGAGGGCTTGAGAATCTTACGCATGATTTTATGACTGTATTAGACTGACAAGTGTGACATTAAAATTACCATATACACTGAATCAAGTAGCACAGTAGCACTTCAGGGAAAAAACAGAAAACAAAAGAAAATCTAGATAATGTTCTCACAAATTATATTTATGACCAGAAATATTTTTTATTTATCATAGTAAAGGGGTTAATATTCTAAAAGACATTGAAATTGACCCAGCAATGGTTCCCAGCTGCTATAATAATAATAATAATAATAATAATAATAATTCTTGAATATCACAAGCTTTTTCAATTAAAAAAAAAAATCTTGCACTGCCAGATGTGCAGGAGTGTTCCTACCATAACGGCATTGGGATTTGAAAGAAATTTTACAAGTCTTAATGGAACATTCAAGGCAACCAGTGGTTGCACTTGGTTTATGAATATAAAGTGTCCCAAAACACAATCATGTATTTATTGTATATTTATTTAGTTTTTACTTTATGCAGAGGATACTTGTGGCTGTTATTTTGGTAAAAAATAATCATAACAAACCGAGTTTAATATGTCACCATGTGGAAACAAGACTGTCAAAAGTGTTAAGAAATTAGATAGCTTTCTTTTCAACTAAGCTTGCATAGGCAATGTCCAAATATATAAAGTTTTGAGTGTCCTTGAATATATTTTAAATATTTTGCAGGCTATCACTTATCTGTCTCTTTCTCTCTGTCTAATTTTGGTTTAAAAAAAGTTTTAGATGATTACAATTTTATCTGTTCAGTTTAAAACGTAAACACTCCTTCATTCTAGTCCTGTATAATTTTATAAACTTTTTAAAGAAAATTGTTGTTGGTGTATGGCAGCTGGAATATAAGTGAAATACATTTTCATTCAAGTACGTAATTAATGTCTTTCCCTACAATGGCTACTTTAAAGCTTCTAACTATAATTACTTAATTAAAACAATGAATCCTGTATTGTATATAGGAAGGATATCTCCAATCTGTATTTAGCAGGTATGTTTAGGATCTCTGTACAGGTTTTTTAAATTTGACATATTAATGTTACCAAGACTTTAGAAATTTGTGAATTGTTTCCCTACCAGCGTGGACTACACTACTCAGAAACCAGGTGTATACTGTTGAGTTACGCAATTACATACTTGAAAATCAAAAAGGGGAAATGAAACCATAAAAGCCGTATAGATAGGAAAGCCAAATGCACTCTCAGGGTGCATCATTACATACTTCAGACTCACAAAATAATCTTCCTTCCTGTAAATAGTTGATAGAGAAATCAGAGATCACATCACGTTGACATGGGGAGAAGCATAGAAAGAGTAGATTCACTTTAGCAATTTTTCATGAGTGGGATGACTCCAATATATCTAGAAGGTCAAAGCTTAAATAAACTTTGACTCCATTTTTATCTAATCCAGAAAATTCCCACCATGCTTTTCTTCATTTGATTTTGTGTCTGACAGAAAAAGCTTTCCTTGCAAAGAACTCTCCTACAAGTATTTCAAATTTTTACAACCTGAGGCATAGAAATAAGGCCCTTTTACTTATTTTCCCCCTCATAAGGTCTCCTTTTTGTAATTTGCTTATGGTAATTTGTTCCTTTATAATAATCAAGGACAGCTTTTGATTTTGATACTCTAGATTGCTACATATAATCATTACAGTAAGCAAGTATTCCAATTAAATGTCATACTTTTGTTTATAATCACTTAGAATCATACTAACGAAGCTTTGTTTCTACACAGCTCTTGAGAACAGCTAAGGAAATCAGGAATTTTTCCTAGAATCATACAACATTTCAGGAGAAATGCTGCGGGGCTTGTTTTAAGAAACTGAAGGTCCCTTAAATACCATATCTCCTCTAATAACCTACAAATTACTAAAAACATATTTGTGCTTCTATTATTTATAATTCTGTTCCTAGGGCTAAGTATAATTCCTGGCACATAGAAAACATGTAAAAAAAGTATAATCAGTTTTCCTTTGTATTCCACATTCATATATAATTGAATAAAATATCACTACAAATTCTGGTAATAGCAGCCTTGTTGTCTGGAAATATAGAAAGTATATGCAAGTCAAGAGAGTGAAAATTGAAAAATTTTTTAAAGAATTTATTCAATAATGGTATTAAGTATAATGAACAGAATACTCATATAATCCCTAGGCTAAAAAATGACAGAACATGTGCTTTAAAACGGTATGCATTCAGGAGGAATTAACCTATAATTCTTTGAGTCTTCAAAAAGCATACAGCAATTTCCACCCCTCTTTAAAAAGAAGTATAAAAGGTTATGGTTATGGTTACTTAACTACCAACTTCCCCGAGAATATCAGAATCCAAAACGGCTTAAGAACCAGGTAAATGTCTTGCAAAAGCTTAAGCTCATGTTTCTTATATGAGCTAAGTACTCACCTGTCAACTAAGAAACTTTTCCAGAGGCATTGAAGTTCAAATGTTTTGTGATTAGGAAAACTCTGTTTATTGTGTGTGTGTATTTATATAGGTTTAGAGGACAGGTATTTCTCTGCCTTAAGCATCTTTTTTAAAGGCAATATTTTAACATAGGAAATGAGGTGACTTCTATCCTATATCTGTGTTTAGAATGTTTCATCTGAATAGGTTATTTCCATTGTGCAGAGGTGGTAAACTTATCTCACATGGTTTTTGTATAACAGCCTGGACTAGCAAGCCCCGAAGAGCAACATCTAATGGTATCATTAAAATGATTGTAAACATGCCTGTTGTGGCAGCTGTGAGCTTTCTTTCTGTTGATATAAACTCAAATTGTTTAGTAAGATCAAACAAATGTAGAGTTTTAATATGTCAACCATGTCTACATTCTAACAGTTTCTGGTTTTAAAGAGATCTGTTTCTTTAGAAGTCAGGATGGCTATAAAAGAGTCAGACTATGGATCAGATTCAAAGTCAAAACCCATTTTCTGATTAGAGCAGAATTATCTGTATCTGTATTATTTAACCAGTTTCCAATGAAAAGAAATCAAGCAGGAAATCTTATTGCCAAGTATTAAAATAAGATGTTGAAGGCATCTGTGTCTATTAATTAACCATAATTACCGTTAGGTTTTTGTCCAAAACAAAATTAAATATTGTGAGCCATTAAATTTAATCTGTGCTTCTCCTAACCTTTTCACCTCTCCTTCACCATCCCTTTTCCGCTAATTTAATAGTTTTCTTAGAATGGTGTCACACCATGTGTTTCAATTTTCAGAGCATTTAAAATAATTCTAGGAAACCCAATTAAATTTGAAGTTTTCAAACAAGTGTGGCTTTATTATCTATCTATTTATTTATTTATTTATTTATTGCAGTGGTAAAAGAAGTAGACTTCTCTGGCAAGGTTCTACTAAAATGTATTCTTAATACAGCAGAAAACTGTGGATTAAATATCAATAATATTTATGTAAAAGAAGAGAAAATACAAATAGTGTGCATTTCCAAATTAAAGCTAATATCCACCAAATACAGAATAGATGTCTGGTAGTTTATACAAATTATCTCTTTTAACCTCTCTGGGCCCCAAATCACACAGCTAATAAGCTATAATTGACTGTATTATTATTATTATTATTTTCTTTTTTTGAGACGGAGCATTGCTCTGTCCCCCAGGCTGGAGTGCAGTGGTGCGATCTCGGCTCACTGCAACCTCTGCCTCCTGGGTTCAAGTGTTTCTCCTGTCTCAGCCTCCCTAGTAGCTGGGATTACAGGCAAATGCCACTGTGCCTGGCTAATTTTTATATTTTTAGTAGAGACAGGGTTTCGCCATGTTGGCCAGGCTGATGTAGAACTCCTGACCTCAAGTGATCCACTCACCTCAGCCTCCCAAAGTGCTGGGATTACAGGCCCATAATTGACTTTATAAAAGAACCTGCACTCTTAAGTATTGGAATATACTGCCTGTTTTTTATTTGATAGTGTTATTTACTATCTTAAAATAGGTAAATACATTACAGGACTATTCTTACAAAGATTTAGGCAAAATTATATATGGGAGGGTGTTCTCTCTTGTGGCACAGAATAAAACTGAATATTCCATTTTTCTCCCCTACATTCTTAGATACCCTTACAATTATTTTAAACCATATGACTATTTTGGAGAATAAAGTGTGGGAGGAAGCATCATGTGTCTCCTTGCAGGCCTAAAACAGTGAAATCTCAGGCACCATTTTTCAGTCTGTCTCCCTCCCTGCTGTGGTTACTAGGAGGCCTTGTGTTGTGGATCCAAAACATCGAAACAGCATGGATTATGGATTACAGAGCTGCTGCAAAAACAGTGCCCAAAGAGGTGCCCAAATATGTAGCAGATTTGGAATGAATCAGAAATAAGCCTTTGTTGCATTGAGCACTGAGATATGGGCATTTTTTGTTTCTAACTAACCCAGCTTACCTTGGTTTTTGTAGAAATTAGTACCAGAAGTGAGATGTTATTTTAATAAACACAATATGTTTGGTATCAGTTGAGTGATCCCACAGTGAGCAAACAGAGAGAGAACTGATATTAGTGACTTTGGAAAAATGGAAACACATTTCATACAATAAAAAATCTTAGAATAATGTGAGCAGCAGATCATGTACTTGACAAATATGTGACTTTGGTTTAAAAGCAGAATGTTCATGTATGTGAGCTGCTATTAACTGTATTTGGCAATATATAATAAGAAAGAAATGGGCTCAGAATAGATTTGGCTAGTTTGCAAGTAGAATTGTAAAAGGTGAGAAAAGTCCAATGCAGAGCTTTTCAGTGTTGGAAAAATAATTGTTTTATAGTCCTAAAAAATGGTAAGAGTGAAAAGGTCTTTACAGATAAGTGTCTGGTAATGTATTTCCAATTGATTAAACCGCATCAAAGCAAAAAATAGGTTACGGACATGGTACTCAATAATTTGGTATAACAACTCAGAGCAAAGATCAGATTAAGAGTGTGGCTCTTCTGGGAAATTCAAACAACTTTCTAGTAACCCTGTTATATTGAGAGAATGAATAATGGAATAAAAGAATAGAGATGGAGAAGATAGAAAGATCTGGGTATGTTCCAGGTTCATAATGAAGATTTAAATTAAAGCTTACTGAGTGTTTGAAAGTTGTACTAGCAATGAAACGATGAGTTTGGATCACACATTAACAAAAGATTGTTACAGATTTAAAAGTTTCCATGAGCAGGAAGTTAACTGGGAAAACTCCTTGGACTCCAAGTAGAGGACATTCCCCAAAACCCAGTTCTGATGGGTACAACAAGTATAATGGGCAAGGAAATGCATCCTTAAAGTTGGAGCTAGGAGACACAGACAACCATGGACTCAAGGCTTCCCAAAAGACAAATCTAGGCTCAGTGGAGGAGCACTCCTCATCAGCTCAGCACCCCTCACAATGCCTCCTTGCTAGAACCAAAACGTCTATGGACTAGTGACTTCTACATGCCTCTCACTCTTCCCCTTTTCTAATGGTATCTGTTCTGTGTCTGTTCCCCCATTTTAATTGAGTGTTTGTGTGTGTGTGTGTGTGTGTGTGTGTGTGTGTTTTGTGGATGTTCCCTTCACTTGACTTTTTAGTTTATATGTCTTAATCAAAAGTAGTGACATCTGAACCTGATATAGAAGCTCTCACATCTCAGCCAATGTTCTGGGTGATCTTGGAGATGGGACTGGATTAATCCTTTGAATTGTCTCATGTAGATAGTAGTTAAGAGTGTTTCTTTGTAGATGAATTGCAGACTGTTTCATCTGCAATTTTCAACTGCAAATAATGCTCTCTAAATATTACATTATTCCTCTACATTTCCTTGCTCCAGAGGTTAGGAAGAGCAAAGAACTAGTCGTACTCAAGAATGGTGAACATGAGTGTAAATTTCAAGGGAGGAAAGTTTGGCCCATTTTTGTTTCTTCAATATCTCTCTTGTTCTAAGTTGTTGCCAAGTTAGGACAAGAGATGACACAGTCACATGATTGAAGCTGCCTGAATCACTGTGTACTGCACACAGGATACTGGCCTGGGGATGTCATGGGAATCCACAGTGTACAGTGCACTTGTAGGAATGAGAAATAAACCTTTGTTGTATTCAGTCTCTGACATTTTTTAGATTACTATATAAAAAAACCTTTCCTGACTAACATACTCTGTTACCATATTTAATGGAAATTATGGTTAGACAATTCTGCTTTCTGTCAGAATGAAAAATTTGTTTGACTAATATTTTTAACAGATTTATATGTTTATTTCTGTTCTTACATATGATAATTTTTAGAAATCTGACTCTTTCCTACTCTTCAGAAGCCACAATAGTAGAATTAGTTTCTATGTTTAGGACACTGTAATACACAGACCTAAAATAAAATGTAACACATTTAACAAAATCAAAATAATATGACAACTACAGATGATTATTATTTTTAATTTCCCAATGTCATAAAAAAGTGATCCCTGCTCTAATATCTTCTCAAAAATAAATGGAACAAGGAACCAATGAGTTATTTAAAGGACTCATTAACTTTCATGTGTCCCTCTTTGTAATTGAGACAGTCGTGTCCTAGAAGTACCATCCAACAAATGATTAATGAGGTTTCCAAATATTCTAAATTGACTGACATGGAAGGCAGTGAACTTGTGTTTAGCCAAATCTCTGTGAGGCTCAGGAAAAAGGAGATACCTGTCTCTTAAATAATTCATGATCATGTCTAATATTAAATGCTTACAAATGTATTTTTTAAGTGTAAAGAGCTTAATACGTAAGGTAAGTAAGGAGGTAATTTCTGAAAGTTTTCTCTCCAAATTTCTCATTATGACTGGTTTAGATGTAGAGATCTTTTAATCTTGTTCATGGTAGCAACAAACTTCTACAAACGCATTGAATAATACAGAAGAAATAACTTATTGGATATTTTTCCACTTTCTTGTTCTATGAACTGGTTAAAATACCTTTTACACCACAGAAATTTGGATGGCAATCTGTTCTATTTGATCACAGTAATAGCTCCTTTGAATAAATTATAATTAGATGCCTTCTCAGGTTAGTGAAGGGCTGGAATTATCTGCATCAGTGATTAAATTCTTACTTTCACTTGTGTAAATTTGCTATAGCTGTAATTTTGAAGTAAAATGTTGAAAGTGAATTTAAGAAAAAGTTAATATTGCAGTATCCTGTTGCAAGTAAACTAGAATTTTTTTTCAAATTTACTGTACTTTGGAAGTTCCTTTGTATTTAAAGATAACAGTTTTTATACTTTGTTTTCATAATCCATACCTCCATTTTTTAATATTCTATCTGATAAAGTTAGTTATTAGTCAGAATATTCCATTATACTTATCCAAATTATGTAATATTCTTTAGTACAGAAGTTCATTGGCTTAGTACACTCTATCATTCATTATTTTTCAATTTCTTAAATATATATTACAAAGTAACTTGGTTTTCTCCAGTTCATTATTAAAATTAATAGCTTGCAATGTAGAAGAAGGTTTCTTTGTTATTTCTTTTTTATTCATATCTTCTTAGGCTAAAACTTTAGAGAGAATTTTTTAAAAATGAATAATGACATAAATGTTTGAGAGTTATTCCAGTGATTCCAGTTACCTTTACACGTACCTATTATAAGGGAAAAAATCCAGTATTATGTTTATTGTAATCTAGAATCCATTTTCTAAACACAAGTTAGCTTTTATGATATGGGAAATCCATACACAACTTTTGTTTTGTTTTGTTTTGATTTGGAGATGGAGTCTCGCTCTGTCACCCAGGCTGGAGTGCAGTGGCATGATCTCGGCTCACTACAAGCTCAGCCACCTGGGTTCAAGCAATTCTCCTGCCTCAGCCTCCCGAGTAGCTGGAACTACAGGCACCCACCACCACGCCTGGCTATTTTTTTTTTTTTTTTTTTTTTTTTTTGGATTTTTAGTAGAGACAGGGTTTCACAGTGTTAGCAAGGAGGGTCTCGATCTCCTGACCTCATGATCTGCCCGCCTTGGCCTCCCAAAGCACTGGGATTACAGGCGTGAGCCACTGTGCCAGGCCAATTCATACACAACTTTAAAAACTGATTGTGATTTGAATTTGAAACAGGATCTAAAATGGTAAAATTGTCACTCATTCAATCTCTGATTTTTTTTCATGTAGGCACCCACAGAGACATACATAAAAAACTAATATCTAAAATATATCATTTACATAAAAATAGCATATGAGGGCTGGCACAGTGGCTCACGCCTGTAACCCCAGTAGTTTGGGAGGCCGAGGTAGGTGGATTGCTTGAGATCAGGAGTTTCAGACCATCTTGGCCAACATGGTGAAACCCCATCTCTACTAAAATACAAAAATTAGTTGGCGGTGGCGGCAGGCACCTGTAATCCCAGCTACTAGGGAGGCTGAGGCAGGAGAATTGTTTGAACCCAGGAGGCAGAGTTTGCAGTGAACCGAGGTCATGCCACTGCACACTAGTCTGGGCGACAGAGCGAGACTCCATCTCAAAAAGAAAAGAAAAAATGGCATATGTATTTTGAAAGGAGAAGTGCCACTTTAAAAATTTTTACAACTTTCTGAATGAAGCCAGTCCTTCTTGAAATTGTCATAATCTTGATTGCCTCAACTGCTGCACAAACCTCACACCTGGGCTCCTACCCTCAACTACCCAATTCTTGTTCTTTTACATGCATACTTAAGTAAATGTTTAAAAATATCAAGTAAGTCCTCAAACTTTCTTATTCTTGATGAATTACTTCATCAAGGCAAAATTATCTGCCCCAAATTTAAGACTCTTCATAGAATGACCTCAAAATATCCAATCAACTGTATTTGCTACTGAGGTTCAAGACAAAACTATTGCGTGTTAGGAATGTTGTTCTTAGTCTCTTCTATCAAGATTTGGGCTTGGACAAAAAAGACTAGGCCATATTGGACAGGATTGGCTTTACATACCATAGCATATAGAAGGATGAGCCCAAATGTAGACCAAATAGAAGATCAAATAGTGGAATTCTGTGTGGAGGTGTGACCAAAGGGATAGGAGAGAGGGTGATGGGCAGAAATCGAGTACTTTAGTAATTTGTTAAACATTTAGGTTTCTGTATGTTTTGATGTCTGAAGGCCAGAGATTTTGAGTTAGACTGTTTTGCAGAAGACATTAGTCCTCATTCTTGAAGTAATTTAGATGACTGGGGACAAAACAAGAGCAGTCCACCTGTTTTCCCATCTGTAAACCATGACCAACAAGGTCAATGTGTATTATTATATGGATGAGGTTGGAATTTCAAGTTAGAATACTTTTATGAAAATGAGCTTAAATTTTTTAGGCTAACACCATGACTGACCTGCTACAAATCAGAAAACAATTAAAAGCAAGGTCTTTATTTTTCTCCCCACCATGACCATTCCTCCAATCTCCACACCCAAATTAGAATCACCCTCTCTTTATTGAGTAGAGTTTAGCTTAATATAAAGTGTAAAGGGCAATGTTTTAAAATATGGAAAACTCCAAGAACGAAAGAAAGGAAAATTATTCCATCCTATATGTAGGATCTGGTAGGCAATAACGATGGTTCCCAGAGATGTCCATGTTCTAATCTCAGAAGCTGTAAATATGTTGCCTTACATGGCAAAAGGAGTTTTGCTGGTTTGATTAAGGTAAAGTCCTTGGAAATGAAGAGATTATGCTGCATTATCCAGGTAAAGCCTGTCTAATTGCATGAGTTCCTTAAGCAGAGAACCTTTCCCAGCAGTGGTCAAAGGGAGATGACTGCATGAGAAACATTGAACTCCCTGTTGCTGACTCTGAAAGTTAAGGGTTTTTGTGCATGGACCAGAGAGAGGCCTTTGGAAACTGGAAATAGAAGTGAAACGGATTCTCCACTAGGGTTTCCAGTGAGGAACTCAGCCCTGCTGACTCCTTGATTTTAGTTAAAGTTGCAGACTTCTGACCTATAGAACTGTAATATAATAAATTTATGTTGCTTTCAGCCACTAACTTTTTAACTTTCTGTTAATTTTTCTTCACATCAATAGAAACCTAATACCTATGCTAACTCCATTCACTTTTCTTGAATTTATTCATAATCTCCATCAGTGTCCTCACCCTTCCACTGCCTACCCAAGATGTGCTCATAAATTCCATTTCAGAAAACCATCACCTCCTCTGAATAGTACTCAGAGTTTTCCTGTAACCCATATCACACAAAAGAACTTCTGTGATAGTTCTACTGAATTGCTGTGCATGAAGATTTTGTTCATTTTAATTATGCTATCAAACTAGATTGTGAACATATCATAGGAATTATTCATGTTTATCCTTCTTTTGAGTTTTCCAGTACACCTGGGACAATGTACATTTTTATTGATCTAAAAGCATTTAAAGCAACAGCATTAATCATTCAAATCTCTTTTCTTGAATCCAGGAAAATAGCTCTTTATTTTCATTTACTGGGCCATCTTTATGATACTTTGTTATGATGTAAATAATTAAAATATATTGCAGAAAATAAGTCTCATTTATTTGGGAACATATGCTGAACTCTTTTTGAATGCACACAAAACCTGCCACGGAATTTCTCATATTGCCATGTAGTTCATAGAAATAAGATTTCCAAAGTCCAATATGCTAAACTCAATCTCACTCCAAAACATAACTTTCATTTACGTTTTTAATATTTGAATTAAAATAGCCCCAAATTAGATGCCAAACAAATCTAACTATATTTTTAGCCATTGTATGTGAGTCATACTGCCAGTGTTTTTGCCTTGCTTGTAACAAATTGTCCCTAATTGAAAAATACTGTAAGCAGTAACATATGAAGGAAAAAGCCACCAATACTTTGAAATTTATTGTTTACAAAAATGACATGGGTTTACCATATTAATTTCGATGAACAAAGAGCTTTAGTTTTGTTGTTTTTCTTTTTTTTCTTTTTTTTTCCCCAGCTTCAGTCTTGTCATTTCATTCTAGTTATGAAATAAGGGGGTGATTTAGGGGATATTTTTCAAAACCTGATCACTTCCTCAAATTGAAGCTTTGTTCTTATAAATAGATACAATTATGTTCATATGTTTTATAGATGAATTCAGTAATGTGCCTGTTAAACAGAGTCTCTCATGGGTAGTTTCCTCAATTCTTTGGAATTTTACTCTTGAATTTGGTCAATGGGGACAATTCAGTCTGAGAAACGTTTATCCTTGATGTCAATACTTTTTCCTTATAAACGTATACTTCATCTTGTATATATGTGCTCACTTGTGTTAGATAAGCTTTGGAGATATTAACCATAGAGCTATAAATTAACTCCATGAATTACAAACTAACTTATAAAATTGTGAAAAAACTTAAGGCTTCCTCCGTTTCATTAAAACTTAGAATAAATAATTAAAAATATTGTCACGGCTGGGCACGGTGGCTCACACCTGTAATCCCAGCACTTTGGGAGGCCGAGGCAGGCGGATCATGAGGTCAGGAGATCGAGACTATCCTGGCTAACACGGTGAAACCCTGTCTCTACTAAAAATACAAAAAATTAGCCAGGTGTGGTGGCGGGCGCCTGTAGTCCCAGCTACTCAGGAGGCTGAGGCAGGAGAACGGCATGAACCTGGGAGGCGGAGCTTGCAAGTGAGCCGAGATTGTGCCACTGCACTCCAGCCTGGGCGACAGAGCAAGATTCCATCTCAAAAAAAACAAAACAAAACAACAACAACAACAACAACAAAAATATATATGGAGAGAGAGAGAGAGAGAGTCATGGATCTTAATTTTCCTATTGATCAGAAAAAAACAAATAATAAATGTAGATCCACATAAAATCTTCCAATTTACATTTTGAGTTTTTAAATGAGTATAGTCTAAGTTATATAAAAAGTATTCTCATGTCTAAATTCACTGTATATATATATATTCTTTTTTTAACATTATACTTTAAGTTCTGGGATACATGTGCAGAACGTGCAGGTTTGTTACATGGGTATACATGTGCCATGGTGGTTTGCTGCACCCATCAGCCCATCATCTACATTAGGTATTTCTCCTAATGCTATCCGTCCCCTTGCCCCCAACACCCCGAAAGGCCCCAGTGTGTGATGTTCCCTCCCTGTGTCCAAGTGTTCTCCTTGTTCAGCTCCCACTTATGAGTGAGAACATGTGGTGTTTGGTTTTCTGTTCCTGTGTTAGTTTGCAGAGAATGATGGTTTCCAGCTTCGCCCATGTCCCTGCAAAGGACATTAACTCATTCTTTTTTATGACTGCATAGTATTCCATGGTGTATATGTGCCACATTTTCTTTATCCAGTCTATCATTGATGGGCATTTGGGTTGGTTCCAAGTCTTTGCTATTGTAAATAGTGCCACTGTATATATATTCTTTAGTTTATTTATAAACTGAAGAAATTTTAGATTTCTTTTGAATATTAATATAATTATATTGATCATAGAATGACATTATGGATAACTTCATTTACCCAGAAATATTGGAAAATTAGATTTTATCCATTGTTGCCTTAGATAATCTGTTCTCACCACTGTGTGAGATTGAAATTACCATTACTGGAAAGTTTTTAAAGAGAGGAACCCTCTTCTGGCCAAGGAGAAAGGCTTTGAGATAGGTGATCAGATGAACCCGAGGGGACAAGTATAAATTGTATCCCTTAAGATAGCACCACATGTTACTGGAGACATGGCTATATTCAGGTAAATAGATTTTGATCAGCAGTAACTGAATGATTCACCACCAATAACATGGAGGTCCTCCAGAATAAATTAGACCATCTGTTGAGTCACAGCTGAAGTTCAATTGGTTTTCCACTTTGAACCAATGATGGACACCTCTCCCTGGGACACCTCCATATAAAAAATTATTTCTCTGATGATGGGTAGCAGAGATCAGTGAATAAAAATCTAAGCTTATTATCTATCAAACTGTAAAGATTCAAATTCCAGCAATGCCACTTAATATTGTACAACCTCAGGCAAGTTACTTAGCTTCAAACAGGGTCCCTTATTCCTTATTTACAAAATAAGAATATCACAAAAGACATTGACATAACCAAAGCAATTCTGAGCAAAAAGAACAAAGCTGGAGGCACCACACTACCTGACTTCAAAATTTACTACAAAGCTATAGTAACCCAAACAGCATAGTGCTGGCATAAAAACAGACACATAGACCAATGGAACAGAATAGAGAACCCAGAAATAAAACCATATATTTACAGCCAACTGATTATCAACATTAGCAAGCTTGTAAGTAATTGATTTCTGTGCTTATTTGAGAAATTATTCTATCCAATGTGTGTTGAAGAGCTATTATCAACAAAGGCACTAAGAGCATTAATTGGGGAAAGGACAGTGTCCTTAATAAGTCGTACTAGGAAAAATAGATATCCACAAGCAGAAAGATGAAACTAGACCCCTATCTCTGACCTTATGCCAAGATCAGCTTTAAATGAATTAAAGACTTAAATATAAGATCTGAAACTATGAAACTATTAGAAGAAAACATAGGGGAAATGTTTCAGATTATTGATCTGCACAGAGATTTTATGGAGAAAATCTCAAAAATACAAGCAACCAAAGCAGAAATACTCATGTAAGATTATATCAAACTGAAAAGCTTCTGCACAGCAAAGGAAACAATAAAGTTAAGCAACAGCGTAAAGAATAAATGAAAGTATTTCCAAACTATTCATCTGATAATGGATTATCACCCATAATATACAAAAATCTCAAACAACTCAAGAGCAACATACATACATACATACATACATACATAAAAATAAATCTGATTAAAAATATGCAAATAATCTGAATTGACATTTCTCAAAAGAAGACACACAAACATCATAAAAATATATGAACAAATGCTTAACATTGCTAATCATCAGGGAAATGCAAATCAAAACCAGAATGAGAAGTCATCTTAAACCTGTTAAAATGTATATTATTAAAAAGAGAAAGAGTAACAAATACTGGTGAAGATGTGAACACTTCTTTTTTTTTTTTTTTTTTTTTTTTTTTTTGAGACGGAGTCTCGCTCTGTCGCCCAGGCTGGAGTGCAGTGGCGCGATCTCGGCTCACTGCAAGCTCCGCCTCCCGGGTTCACGCCATTCTCCTGCCTCAGCCTCCCAAGTAGCTGGGACTACAGGCGCCCGCCACCACGCCCGGCTAATTTTTTTGTGTTTTTTAGTAGAGACGGGGTTTCACTGTGTTAGCCAGGATGGTCTCGATCTCCTGACCTCGTGATCCGCCCGCCTTGGCCTCCCAAAGTGCTGGGATTACAGGCGTGAGCCACCGCGCCCGGCCAACACTTCTTATACACTGTTGATAGAATGTAAATTAGCACAACCATAAAAAACAGTGTGAAAGTTCCTCAACAAAACTAAAATAGAATTACCTTATGATCCAGCAATCCCACTGCTGGGTATATATCCAAAGGAAATCAGTATGTCAAAAAGATGTCTGCATCCCTGTTTATTACTGCACTATTCACAATAGCCTAGATATGGAATCAGCCCAAGCGTTCATCAGTGGATGAGTGAATAAAAAACTGGTCTATTAATATATATCCAGTGGAATGTTATTCAGCCATAAAAAGAATGAAATACTATCATTCATGTAAGGACATGGATGGAACTGGAGGTCCTTATGTTAAGTGAAATAAGTCAGGCACAGAAAGGTAAATACTACATGTTTTATCTCACCTATGGTAGCTAAAAAGTTGATCTCATAAAAGCAGAGGGTAGAATAGTGGTTCCTAGAGGCTGGGAAGTGTAGAGCAGATTAAGGATAGGAAGAGACAGGTTAGCAGGTACAAAACTGGAACTAAATATGAGAAATAATTTCTAGTGTTCAGTAGTTAACAACACTATAGTGACTACAGTTAACTTTTTTTGGTATATTTTCAAATAGCTAGAAGATAGAATTTTGAATATTCCCAACACTAAGATGATAAATGTTTGAGGTGATGAATATACTAATTAACCTGATTTGATTATTACACATGGTATCTTTGCATTAAAATATCATACAGTACCCCAAAAATAAGTACAATTATGATGTGTCAAATAAAAATAAGAATAAATTTTAATAAAAGAAAGAATACCTACCACATTGGATTGGCATATAGATCAAATGAAATAATTCCCCAAAGCACTCTGTTCAACCCTGATACTGAAGAAGATTTTAGTGACTGGCAGCAGTCATCACATAGGGTTATTAGAAAGACAAATAAGGTGGCATACGTGAACAATGAATGGAGCTTGGTACTTTGCGCACTCAATGCCCTCAATAATATTACTTTTTCTGGCCAGGCACAGTGGCTCATGCCTGTAATCCCAGCACTTTTGGAGGCCAAGGTGGGTGGATCACATGAGGTCAGAAGTTCGAGATCAGCCTAGCCAAAATGGTGAAACCTCATCTCTACTAAAAATACAAAAATCAGCTGGATGTGTTGGCGGGTGCCTGTAATCCCAGCTACTCAGGAGGCTGAGGCAGGAGAATAGCTTGAACCAAGGAGGCAGAGATTGTAGTGAGCTGAGATGGCACCACTATACTCTAGCCTGGGTGACAGAGTGAGACTCGGTCTCAAAAAAATAAAAAATAAAATAAAATATTACTTATTCCCTGAAACAGTCTCTTTGAAGTACCAATTTATGCTTCAAACATACACGTCTCCTCCCTAGGATTGCAGATAACGAGTCATAGTGCACAGGGTTCTGTCACATGCAGAGGCTATGGCAGAGTGGCTGATCCAGTTACATACATCTCACAAGCACAGTTAAGCCTCTGATTCCCTATATACTGTCAATCATATACTTTAAAAACAATTACTTCCACCAAATATACCTATCATCAACCTTACAAAGTTACCAATCCACTAGGCCAATTATATTATTAGAAGCTTGCTTTTCCATTTTTACATCTAAGTCCAACTCTTCTCTCTTAAAAGAATACTTTTAGAAATACCTTAAATGGTTTACTGTTATATTTTTGTGATCAGAACAATTTTAGATCATTATTTTAGCTTAACTATAGATGCAGATCACTATAAAGATGATAATATAAGCACAACACCTATAAACCAGAGACAGTTTTAAACTAGATGGTCATTGTCCTTTTAAACATTTCATTGTACTTGCGTATGCACATACACACACACACATCAATTCATAAAATGTAAGTGTATGAAAGATATGTGTTTAATATATGTATCTTAATGGGTACAGTGTTCATATTCAATAATTGACTTAAATATATTTTTCGATGGACATACAAGTTTTCTACTTCCACTATTATCAGCAGTGCATCAGTGAACATCTTTGGGTATAAATATCTTTGCACACATATTTATTGCTATTATTTTAAAGAATTCTTTGAATGGAATTGTTGGGTAAAGGATACACACATTCACATTTTTGATACATACTGTCTTTCACAAATCAATTACCAACTTTTGTTCTCATTGACATGCAGTGTCTTAAAGTTTGCATGAGTTTCATTCTCTATTTACATTGTTTTCTCCTCTGGGCTTCTGCCCATGAGATGCTGCCTGAAATCCATTCCTCTCCCGTGATCTCATGACCAGGCCTTGTTGACCATGCTTTTTCAATGACTCTTTTAGCTGGGCCCTTTCTTCAAACTTGAGGACTTCCTTGCTAATCTTCTTGTCACCTAAAGCCAAACTCATCTCATGCCATATTTTCAACAACTACTTGTTAAAAAATATAATACAAAATAGTAAATACTAATGTTAATGAATGTAACTTAAACTTTCTTGGAAAATGTTAGTACTCACTTTTATTTTCCAGACACTAGACAAAGTACTATGTATGCATTATATGAAAATTGAATGTTATTATTATTAACTTCCTCTGCAATAAAAATCTGAAGCTCAGAAAATCTTAGTTATTTTCCAAGGATAAATATATGTAGCACATTTGGGCTTATATCCTTGGTTGTATTATTGCAATTCTATTCTTAACCACCATGATGTACTGTCTGCATTTGGAAATTCAGGAACAAATTTAGAGCTTTGCCAACGTTTCAAAGGCATGATTTTATAAATTACTTTTATTCATAAATTACTGTGTGATCAAAAATATAAATTTACTTTGGGGTAAGTCAGGCTGATCTCATATTATTTCAGAAAATATCTGTTATTTTAGTCCATAATAAAAAGTTACTGACCCTATTTGCTTTTTGTTAATAATGACTGCGGACATTTCCTAAGAGATGCCTAGTTGAAAATATGTCCATGTAACGCTGATGAAGTAGGAATTTGGGCAAGGTTGTAGATGACTGATTTCTGTGCTTATTTCAAAAATGATTCTATTCAACATGTATTGAAGAGCTATTATGGAATACCAAACTACAGGAAAGTTGGTGGCCTTAAAGAAACCATCAGCTTGGTCCACTGGAGTTATCCGATGTGTGAGCTCACTCTAGTTTCTACAGGTTGACTGGGGACACTTATTTAGTCTGGGCTTGGCTGGGGCAACTTAGCAAGGGCTTCTCCATTCCATGTATTTTTCATCATTCTTTTGAAACCAGTGGGTTAGCCCAGGTATGTACATTTTATGGTGACGGCAAAAGGACAAGAGAGCGAATGGAAACATACAACATATCTTGAGGACTCAGCTTTTGGAGCTGGCATGTTGTCACTTTTACATCATCCTATTTGCAAAAGCAAGTCTCATGATGAAATTCATAGCCAGAGTGGGGAAATATGCTGTTCCCCTTTGAGGGAAGAGTGGCAAACTCATATGGCAAAAAGCATGGAGATAAGACGGAAGTGAGAAGTAGTGCCAGTAATACAAGCTAGCACCAAAGCAACTGAGTTTTTACTTGAAAAGATATTCTGGTTCTAAACTTAAAAACTAACCTATATTTTTAATTATTTGGTCACGGGGTACTATGAAGTTTTTTGATTTCCTGAGACAGAGAGGGCATGCTGCAGATGTTTTAATTTCAGGTCAGGTGATTTCTACCTATGAAATGATTTTGCCTATGTCCTTTAAGAACCACTTGTGTGTTTCTCTGAATGCAGTTTTCAGCACTAAAACTCTCAATGAGTGACTCATTAAACTAGTCACCATTGTATCCACCCACTCAACCTCTTGCCATGGCCTCCAAATCTGAGGTTGCTCTGTCACATAAGCATGATAACTGTAGAATCCAGAATTCCTATTCAACTTGTGCCAAAACACTAAGCCTTTAAGTTTAAGAGCATTTGAGGATAATTGTAAGAAAAATAGCTTGGTTGCTCTGTAACCAGATGCTAAGTTGACTAATACTCACTCACAGTGAGTTAACC
This sequence comes from Homo sapiens, assembly GCF_000001405.40. Lineage (NCBI taxonomy): Eukaryota > Metazoa > Chordata > Mammalia > Primates > Hominidae > Homo > Homo sapiens. Next base: position 84,372,311 of record NC_000007.14, on the reverse strand, counting down.
GGAAATTAAAGGAGGGAGTCACAGCCCCAGAGTGTGAAAGAAGATAGCCGGAAATGTCCAAAGCAGTTAAGAGGGCGAACAGATTTTGTCTAAAAAGATAAGGCAGCTAAACAGAGGGTGAGAAGACATGAGCCAAATTTACACACACAAATAGTGGAAATAATCTCTGAGAATCCAATTTGGGAAGAAGTGAGGGAGATAATAGTGCTCTGAGTGCCTAGTGATGAGAGAACAAAGAGGTTAACGATGCCTGAGAGACAGGATCAGTAATGTTTCCAAGGTGTCATGGAAGAGTCTGCTGGCAATAGGACAGAAGTGTGCTTTTTTGTTTATTAAACCAGTTTACTAAGAAGGTTCAAGTTTGCGTCAAAGTTCAAACTTTATAAATTATTTGTTTGCTTTGCTTTCCAGAATATTTAAAAAAACCATCCATGGGACAGTCTAACATAACAAAGGGAATTATTCATCAAGAAGAGGCCCTTTAGCAGGTAAGTGTGAGGAAACCCTTCATCTTTAAAAGGCATATGACTCTTTGCTTGGTGTTTGACTTTAAGTGGAACCGAAAAAGTTTTAAGGAGATTAACATCTTTATATTCTTAAAGCCAATGTCTTCAAAATAACAACCTAAAAGCAAAGTGAAAAATCCAATCAGGTGTTTATTGATTTTTTCAAATTCAAATATATATTATAATATTGTTTCTCAACTTCTATGAGATATAGGGCTTGTCTTGATATAAGTAATGAGATGGATATAATTATGTTCCATGATTTAATATTTTATTTTCTTATATCTTAATTATGAGTTGATGCTATAGTCTGAACAATTAAGACCTAAATGCTTTTCCAAATTTACATAAAAATTCAAAATTTTGTGTTAGAAAATTACTTTCTAAAAAACTCAAGTATTCTGCATCTGGGTGGAAACTAAAGATAATTGCCAATTCTAAATGTTATTATGATTACTGTTCCAATTTTATTGTCTTAAATTCCTCAACTGTCTACTTCCCCCATACTATATGACATAAATTAAAGTCTCTGAGCCATGTTATATGTTGTTCACTAGTAAACATCAACGTGCTGGTACAGAAAGGCATATCTGATTCTGTAAAAAGTTTCTGAAGGAACAAGATAATAAAAAAACAATGTAAATCTATTTGCACAAACCTAATATTACTGGAAGGAGTTTCTGTCAATAACTACTGATGTGACCCAGTGCTTCTAACCTATATGAATGTACATCCATGTATATATGTTAGATAGGGTAGATATACATATTACCTATCTATATACCTACCTATTTACCTCCTCCCTCTCCCTCCATCATCCATTCTCATGTTCTATATGGTTATATGTTCTATATGGTATACTAGATACTCAACTAATCTATTTCAAATAAATGAATTAGTAGTTTCATCCATAGCTGTTGTTAGCATGGAAAAACTTAGGGGAACTGAGAATCTTTTTTTCTGCCTTAGAACATGCTATATTAACTTGTGGTTTATGTAATTACCATTGTATGTCTCCTTATTTTTGTCCCTAAAGAAACTTTACATCTTACAACTTCATCCCTATGAATTTTATTTCCTTCCCTATAAAATGAGAATAAAAATATACATTATAAAGGTATATTTGAGGTCTAAACAAAATAATGTGTATTAAATGTAATGCCTTGAAAAGGTAAATATTTATAAATTGGCATGGCTTTGAGACAATAAGAAAAACTAGAATTGGCACATGGTTAAAGTGGGAATTCAACAGAGCAACCAAGATGTTTCTAACCTTTTCTTTTTAATTGTATTTGAGGCCTATCAAATCTAACTTTTACACGAAATTATAAATTATTCATGATTTCCATAGATATTTTATATTTTATCTTAAGAGGTGTCTGCTAAACTATATAAATCTGGAAGGAAACTTATGCTAAAATATAAGGTATTGGCCTATGTGTACACACATTGCTCATTCTCTAATGAGGCTCTGGAGCTATGAAACATGCGTGGTGCAGTGTGGAAACAAAGTTTATGGATTGTGACTCACATATATTATCACATTAAATCCCTATAAATTCTTAAACACAACTTCTTTTATCAGTTTATGCCTATACTCAAAACCAGCAATTGCTTCCTTTGCCTGCAGAATAAGTTACTAGTTCCTAAGATTGCTATTCCAAGTTCTCAAGAATCTGGTCCCATTCTACCTCTTTAAGGTTTTCTCCTACTTATGCCCATTAAAATGTTGCGCTTCAATCAGGTTAACCTATTCATTCAATCCACAATTCCAAAAGCAGTCTACATCCTTACCTTTGTTTTTGCAGCTTCCTTTCCTATTTGGTATGACTTTCCATCTTGACAAAAGCTTATATGTCCTTTAAATAACAGGTCCAGCCTCTACCTAGCTGCATTTCTGAATCATCTCAGTTGATAATTATCTCACCATGATCTGAAAGAAAATTAGTAATATTTATATTACTAATTTTCATTCATATAAAAATATTAATTTACTAATTACTAATACAATGTGATGTTATTTTTATTATATATATAAATATATATTTAATACCTGTCACCTCTTTCTAAAATGGCATACCTGTGAGTCTTTGTTTTGTTCACCATTTTATAAACAGTACCTAGATTTTCACCTGAAATATACTAGATGCTCAACTAATCTATTTTGAATAAATGAATTAACATTTACAAACAACTAGGTTAGGAATGTGTTGTCTTTCCTGGTCTGCAGAATTTGGGGGTTGAATATATTTCTTAAAAAGACTGTTCAATATAATCATCTGAAGACTAGATTCTTCTTTCGTACCAAGTCTGTCACTTCATGGCAACTCTCTTAAACAAGCTACATTTCAGTTTCTATTTATGAAATGGTGATAAACAGTATCGCCTTTGTTCTTGTCACTTGAAGTTACAAAACTGATGGAAAAAAAAGTACGTTGAATTCCAAAAGTCACTTTCAACAGCTCATTATTAACTTTGGAATGACTAAAAATGATTCTTCTGCTTGGTTCCAAAGAAAGATAATAATGCACTTTGGTGTATTAGGGATAAGTCCATACAGAACACAGGATATTAAAATACATATTTATAAGAAAGATTCCAGACATCCCAAATTCATAAAATGTCTGGCTCTAAGTTGGTTTGAAGTTTTGCCTGGACTCCAGATATAGATTTGTGTATTTTATCTGTCCATCTCTATATTTTTGATTTCCACTGGGATTCAGTTTTGGCAACATGAGTTTATTGTTTCCAGTGAAAACATCAATATACTAATTCCCAATGAGATGAATTAACATTGTGATCTAGTGAGATCTGCAGTTTTTGGGCTGGATATATATTTGATGGAAAATCTATACTGAAGATTCATGATTGATATAAAATCCAGTGACTTATGCATACACAAATGTATACAAGTTATATATAACTTTATCTTACACTTGTTATTATATAGCCTATATATGTGTTTTTGTGTATATATTTATGCTAGATATATATAGTGAATATGTGTGTCTATATATTGTATATGTGTATCTGTATACATACACACTTGCTATATAATAATCAAGGTGAGATAAATTGTATATATTACTTATATAGAATTAACATGCATTTTATATGTTAATTATAATAATAATTGTTAGAAACTATTAGTCATTTAGGTAAGATGCTTATTTTTGTTCATCTTTTGCTTTAAATTTATCTTACTTTGGTCATTATATGGCCAGTATGTTTATATGTATATACTATATTTGTACTGTATAAATACATTATACAGTACATTAAAACAATAACATAAAACTATAAAGCCAAACCAAAATTCTGACCTACTGATATAATTTTTAAGTGATGCATAAAATAACTACCTTGCTTTTAAAATTATCTTTATCCTTGTAAACCTCATTACAAAGATAAATAACATGTTTTTAATTACAACTCATCAAAGATGACAATGATTTATATCCATAAGTGGTTGTGACATGCGGGTCACTTTCTACTGGATTGCATACAAAATAAAGGATTAAATTTCATAAAAAAAACTGAGTTCTTTTCAGAAGCTCACTGTTTTGTTAAGCAAGATTTACTAACATTATGGTGAATGAATCTGCAGACCATTTTTAAAGTTGTAAAGAAAAATAGAATTTTTGAAGCTTATAACCTATTTTTAGAAATACCATGGGTTATCTATAAGTGAGCTTAAATATTTTATGTTATAAATTTAATTTCTATAGCACCTATAACATTACATTGTGCTCACTTATATACTCAAGTTACAACATCCTTGAAAGCATTACTTCTACTTTTGTGATGTTTCTATATTTAGTAATTAGCATAGAATATTTATAAAATTATTATGTATTTACTGAATGTGTCCATCAGAAGGTACAATATTTTATAAAGCTAAGATTTCTTCAAGATTCTTTTAGATAAACAGAATTGTAGATTTGACTAAGGGAAATTTTTTGACACTCCAAAGAATTCAATGCAGTTTCTTTAGCTTACTTTTTGAGATTTTTTTCATAGTTTCATTTCCATCTTTATCTTCAACCGGATCTGCCTCTACCTATATATATAGGTCTACTCATTATTCCAAATGCAAGTCTTGCTTTCTCACCTATCTGCCTTTTTCATTCCATTATTCCTGTCTGAAATGTTTTCTCTCTGCAAGTCCTATCAAAATCTTAGGCTCTTGTTAAGCCTCAACTCACATCCAGTCTTCTTTCTCTGAAGTAACTGGAAGAGCTGTGTGGAGCTATACTAGATCACCATCTTTTCTGATCATCTGTGGCAAATCTGTCATTTGAATATCAAGAGAAATATTTGGCAAAACTATTGTTTGGCGATTTTTTTCTTAAGAAGCGGTATTTTAATTATGCACATACATTAGCTCTTTAAATATATTTAGGATTCTTAAAGACATAAACAAATTATGTAGATTATTTTTGAGGATCCACTGGCCTACTTTAATAATACTTCCTTTTAAGGCAATGGCATATAACCTGAATTAAATCAAGTAGCATTTGTTTGCCTCTTTCTTTAAGATGAAAAATTAAGTAATTAAACTACATTGTGGACATACATTCATAATTGGTAATTCCACATCTCACCTATACGTTTATTTTTTATTAGAAAATGTCTTTCTTACTTCTACTCTAGCCCCAATTCCTAGAGGGGCCTTGCTGACCCTTACTTGAGGACATTAATTGAACTGTCTATGAATCAGATTCAGAGACATATGTCATATATAAATGGTCAAGCCCCTGAACATGTTGGTTAAATTCTCTGCACCTCAATTTATTCAAAAATTAAGGTTTTTTTTTTTTAAGATTAAAGGCATTTTAGTGTATGCAAATTCTTTAGAACATTGAATTGCTGGAACAAACTCTCAGATATCTGCCTATAGAATCAAGTGAGAGCACAAGAAAAAAAATCCTGCATAACCAAGTAGCTAGATTTGAATATCTTTTTTATATGGTTAGTGTTGGAATAGCAATTTACCACTAGTATGCCTATCACTTTAAAACACCTCAGAAAATGACATGTGGATTTTTGTTGCACAGAAAGGCCTTTTCTCAGTTGTTGTTTATGGATGAACCAAGTGAATCTCTTGGGGAGACTTAAGTAATTCTGCCTTGGAGTGCTCACCTATTAAGGCAGAAAGAGTATGTGTTCCATGTTCTTCCTTGATTGAGTGTAAAGTATGGTTGTAGTATGCTTTAGTGTAGCACGGAATCACAGAGGATGAAGTGAGAATTAGTTAGCAAGAATCCATTTTCCACTACAGTGGTTTGCTTAGAAACTTGATTATAGCAGATTGATAAAAAGGAGTAATTTACTGTTTTAGTAAATGAATACTGATCATGTCATCATCATTTATAATTTTAATATTATATTACTGTACCACTTATTACAATTGTAATTATTTGTTTGATGCTTAAGTTTCTCCATTATACTGTCACCTTTATAATGGGATGATATATTTCTGCTTTAGTTGAAAATGTATTTCGTGGGCCTACTTCAGGTCTGTGGAACCTACTACTAGGTTCACAGTAAATATATGATGTTGTAAGTTTTCATTTCTGAAGCAAGTGTACTATGTTGGCTAACATAAAATTAAATCAGAGGGGGTAAAGTGAAGTAAAAAAATTAATGGAGAAGGAGGTCTTTGACATATAGACAGGTCAAGAGTCTTTTATAAAAATAATAATGTGTCTGTCTGTGACAGGTTTAATGAAAGCTTTTCAGAGGTAGTACAAATGCCTTTGTTTTTCCTTATTGACAAATGTGATATTTAAATCATTTAGTTAAAAAGTAGTGTCTCCACTTTTTTTAGTTTATGTTTTCATAACCATGTTATAATTACTCAAATGTAAATTATGATATAATTTAAATGTTATAATTTAACTTAAGATAAAATATTTAAATATTAGTTAAACTCATGTTATTTATTGTAGATGAGTTATCTATTCACAATCTCTTAGAATAATTATCTTGTGATATTCATGCAGTTCTCAATATCAGATTGTGTCTAGATTTGGTTGTAAATAGAAATATGTTAAACATAAAAATTCACTTAAGACTAACATCAGAGTGATTTTGAAGTTGTTGCAGCAAAAAAAAGTAAGAATATAAAAGTGTTAATATGATGAATAATAAATAACTAGAAGTCAGCATATTAAAAATGTGGTTACCAGTTTAAACAAGCAGATCAGTGGAAAAAATAATAATAATACAGTATGAGATACAGTCATATTTACTTTGAGAAAGAAGTCTTCGCAAAAGTGAAGAACTCATTTAGAGAATTAATTTTGGAGACAAAGAGAGATGAGGGTTTGAATCCTGCATTCAATACCTATGAGCTCTGTGACACTGAACAAGTAATACACTTTCAGCCTCTATTTCAAGTATAGAGTGGGCATTATAAAATAAATGCAGAGAGAGAGCTCAAACAAAGCACTTATACCTAGACTATTCTGAACCATAAAGGCACCAAAAGAACATCTTTTATTGGTTCCAAACTTTTAATATATATGATAGTTCTTTCCAAACATGAGTACTTGAGTAAACTGGGTAAGATAATGTTCTCTCTGGCACGTAGACTTTTGTAACTATTTCTCCTTGTCACAACATCATTTATTTTCCTGTGGCATAAACCCCACCCAAACACCCCTCAATTCTCCCTACAGGATTGAATTGACTTTATCTCCTATATTACTATTCCTAATTATTATTATTTAATTGTCATATTTTTTTTTATTCCCTTTGTAGTGCCATAACCACAAGGTAATGGTAAGGCAGGGTCCTATTGCTGGACAGCTGGGAATAGAGTTAATGCACCATGCAGCTTTGATCAAGAATTGTACCTTTATTTGGTCAGATGCATTCTGTGTTTTTAACTGCTCTCATTCTTGAGGTTACAAGAATGCAAACAATTCTACAGTTCCACCTCTTTTTTTTTTTTTCTCTTGTTCTTTTTTCTCTCACTCCTCAGTCTCTCTACGGCCTCAGGGCCTGCCTGACCTGCACAGTTTATTCTGAATTTACTAACTTCTTTTAGTTCCAAATGTTACTTTTGGTTACTTTTCCCCTTTTCTTATAAAATAAATTTTGCCTCTAATCTATAATTAATTGAAATAAAGTGACAGCATGGTAATGCAAGTAGAAAATTGTTTTTTGCTATTTGGAAGTACAATAAATGCTTAGGTTCCCATGTCACATAACAAAATACATTCTGGGTAATAAATATTTAGTTTATTGTGCAATATAACAATATACTTTTTGTGGCTGAAATAATTAAATGTAAAAATTCAAATGATTTTTTAAATTCTAAAAAAATAAATAAATACAGCTGTAATCCAAAAGGGTGATGGATTTCTAAGCTTGAATGATGAAATTGAATTAAGAAGTAAATACTTAATAACACAATTAAAAGTTTTATTTGAAAAAATCGTTTTATATATTTGTGTCTCTGTATTTTGTTTCTTTAAGGCCAATGTACAAGGTGTTTTCAGGGAATGTTTTAAGGGAATATGACTAAGGATTATGTCAGTATATGAAACTTATTGATTTCAGAATCTAGTTACATTCTTAAAAAATCACTGAGGTTCCTAAAAGGTTTTGTTTATGTTTATCAGTATTTACTGTACTGGAAATTAAAACAGATATTTTATAATATATATTTATTATGTCATTTAACAACTATAATAAATCATATGTTAACCAATACATATGTTAATGAAGATATATTTTCAAAACAAAATGAATTAGTGAGCAAGTACCATTGTTTCATTATTTTTGAACATCTCCATAACATCTGGCTAAATAGATGGGTTCTCATACCTGCATCTGCTTTCAATCTGTGGTGATGGCACTCATCTGTAGCCTCTGGAAAACTGCACAGTACACTCACAAGAGAATGAAAGGGGAAGAAACAGCTTATATCCTAATATTATTTTAAAAGTAATGTTGACCTTGCAGAGCCCCTGAAAAGTTCTTAAGGAAGCTTAGAGTTCCCTAGATCACACTATGAGAAAGATTGGCCTAGACCAATCAGGACTATACAGGGAGCTGGAATTGATAACAATATCACAAAAAGAGCACAGCTGCTATAGAAGAGGAGCAGAATAGTTGTGAAAGTTACAATCACAATTTGTCTAAACCATAAAGTTTATTGTACTGAAGCCATTCACAATAGGCCAATTCCACATAATTAAGTGGAAACATGTTTGTGTTATAAAATTGAAGGCAAAAAATACAAAATTAAAAATCTTAGGTCAATTAAATCTGTATAGATATTTTATAGATAGATATAGATCTAAAGAAAGCTGTTAAAACTTTTGTTTTTAAAGAACTGGGGTGAAAAATTGAAAGAACATGCACCAAAAATAATCAGCACTTGCCTTTAAGGCAAAGGCACCTGGGTATATATTTTCGAATGTCCGAGAGTGAAAAAGCAGTGACAATCTAGTCTCTATCTCCTGAACTGTCATGAAACTTTAGATCACTGAACTGTTTTCTCTCAGGATTTCTATTTCTCTCACTTAATGAATCAGTTCTTTGTTGGTTTGGAATTAGGTCCAGAATAGCTGTTCTCCAAATAATTCATTTCCTTTATCTTTGATGCATAGAATTTTAAATAAGGTGTGTCAGGAATTTGTCAGATGATGTGATTTTGCTGAAAGAGAATTTCAGCAGATGTCCGTAAACTAACTCTTCCCTTGCTACTTTAGCTTCTGAGGCAGGATGGTGATCTGGATCAGGGCATATCATCTATTTCCTGCTCTAGCTAGTTGTACAGTAATATACTCCCATACTGCTGTTTACTTTGTAAATTCCCCATTTTTTCTTCATCCATTAGATCTGTAGCATATTTCCAAACTTGGATCAATGAATGAGCACTGCTTTTTGCAGACATAGAGCAGGGCTCTAGATAGAGTCTACTCAGTCCTACTGTGGAGTAGCCCATAGTCCTATATATTATGACAATTACTTTGTGTTTATTATTTGAATTACATTTTTATCTTTATTCTGCCTTCCCATACTCTTACATACATCCTTAACATTAGAAAATGGATGTTACCATAAAATTATCAGTAAAAATCCTGGAGTTCCATGTAATTATGTAAACACAAATAGTTAACAATAGTTATTCTACTATAAATATAGAAAGGGATTTCATATGTTCTGAACCATATCAAACTTAAAGTTGTAAAGTTTTACAAGAAGCCATAATTGAAGGATAAGATTACAAAGTACAATAATGATTTTACAGTGACATATTTGCCTTTGCTCACCGTCATTCATTGTTATTCAACTCTAGCAAAAAGTGTGCTGAATCTCTCTGATGTTTTTAGAACAAGTTTCCAAAAATGTCTTCCAATATTGACGATGAAACTATAAAAACCCTGAATAATGATAATAAAATTAACAATCGTTGAACATTTATTGTATGGTTGAAATTGAGAATTATTGCCTTTAGTTATCTCAACACCACTGTGATGTTGTTACTGTTATTTTTGCTATTTTATAAATATGGTAACTGAATCTGGGAGAAATTAAGAATTTATTCAAGGTTATTTATTTATTTATTTATTTAGCATGGGGTTCTCAGTACATTGCCCAGGTTGGTCTTAAACTCCTGTTCTCAAGTTTACAACAGTTGTGAGCCACCACGACTGGCCAAGGTCATCCAATTATTTAGTCATGAAGGAAGACTGTTTATCTTAGAGAGATTGTTTTCAGACCTCTCTTTCTTAACCACTAAATATACCATACAAAACTATATGAGCAACATTAATATCTATACTTAGAGTAATTTTAAAAACCAAAGAAAAACAACTGAAAGCTATAATCTGTTTTCAAGAATTCAAAAAACTATCATAGAAATAGAATAAGAGAGAGCCTAGAGCCGAGTTCACCCTGCAGTTCTCTCTTCTCGGATCCTTTACACAGGAAGTAATGAAAATGAAGGACACCGTCTCCTCTGCAGAGTCCTTCAGTTAACTTCCCTGGCCTACCCATAAAGATGCTTCTCTGACCCTTTTAATTATGTCATTAGTATTTATATGAATTAGCAATAGACTTTTTAAAATTCCCCTAGTTCAATGTACTTTTCCAGAAGGCTTAAGTTCCTTGTCTATGTCATAAGATTCATTGTAATTAGGGTATCATTAGTAATTAGGAGTCTTCCCTTGACTCTTATTTTATATTACTCGTTCTCCCTAATGGTGTCCATCTATCCATTTTCTTTCAATAGAATATTGCTTTATATTTAGAAAATCTAACTCCCATGTTCGATAAGGATAGATATATTTATTTGCATTATAAACATTGCTCCATAGCTGAGTAGTAGAATTTCCTCTACCTTGCAATAGCTTTCCGTTTTCCATTTTTATTTCAGTTTTCTTATTTTTCCTTTATTTATTTCTTTCCCTTGTTCAGGAATATTATAATAACTGGTTTCTATTTTGCATCATTTCTTCCATTCAATATAAGTCTTACAAATCTTAAAATTTATTGAAGTTTATTAGCTGTACTTCTTAGAAACATTCTCAGCACTTCATGAGAACATGTTCCTGGTTTGTCTCTCTCGTCTTTGGATCAGAATCTCCAGTGAAACTCAGCCATTGTTCCCTTCTGGAAGTTGTGAAAACTAGCTTATTTTTCCCAAAGTCAATGAAGTCTGTTAAAATCTTATCTCTCACAATAAAATTTATAGTAAGCATTTGAAGCTGTAAAACATTTTCAAGTATTCAACAGAAAAAAATGGAAAATTGAATATTAAACTAATTTTGAATTCTTGATAACATAGTTTTTAAAATAACATTTTTACCTGTATATTTTAAATTTTAAGTTAAATTTTAATTCCTGAAAGTAGATTTGTAGAGTGTTGTTTAAATTTGTAGACTTTGCATTTGAACCTGGCATGGCAGAGGTTGCAGTGAGCCAAGATCATGCCACTGCACTCCAGCCTGGGTGACACAGCGAGACACTCTCAAAAAAAATAAAAAATAAATAAAAAATGTAGGTTTTAAACAATTGCTGTTAGTAGGGATAGCTGGCCAAAATGTATGGTTTACTCTATTCCCCTTTGACACTGAGCTAATTTAAGAATACTCTGCACATTAGCAGCATCTTGTATAATAGATTGTATACTACACTCGTCTTGACATGCTACAAGGCTTTGGGTAAGTAAAAAATGTGCTAATAGTTTTAAAACTATAATCTGCTTAAATGTAACACCTTCCAGATCTAGCAAAGCAAGGATTTTGTTTGTCTGTTTAGAAATTAGTTTAACTAACTGTCTCTCAGACCACATTGCAATCAAACTAGAACTCAGGATTAAGAAACTCACTCAAAACTGCTCAACTACACGGAAACTAAACACCTGCTGCTGAATGACTACTGGGTACATAACGAAATGAAGGCCGAAATAAAGATGTTCTTTGAAACCAACGAGAACAGAGACACAACATAGCAGAATCTCTGGGACACATTTAAAGCAGTGTGTATGTAGAGGGAAATTTATAGCACTAAATGCCCACAAGAGAAAGCAGGAATGATCTAAAATTGACACCCTAACATCACAATTAAAAGAACTAGAGAAGCAAGAGCAAACACATTCAAAAGCTAGCAGAAGGCAGAAAATAACTAAGATCAGAGCAGAGCTGAAGGAGATAGAGACACAAAAAACCCTTCAAAAAATCAATGAAACCAGGAGCTGGTTTTTTGAAAAGATCAACAAAATTGATAGACCACTAGCAAGACTAATAAAGAAGAAAAGAGAGAAGAATCAAATAGACACAATAAAAAATGATAAAGGGGATATCACCGCCGATCCCACAGAAATACAAACTACCATCAGAGAATACTACAAACACCTCTACGCAAATAAACTAGAAAATCTAGAAGAAATGGATAAATTCCTCGACACATACACCCTCCCAAGACTAAACCAGAAAGAAGTTGAATCTCTGAATAGACCAATAACAGGCTCTGAAATTGAGGCAATAATTAATAGCTTACCAAGCAAAAAATGTCCAGAACCAGATGGATTCACAGATGAATTCTACCAGAGGTACAAGGAGGAGCTCCTCCCATTCCTTCTGAAACTATTCCAATCAATAGAAAAAGAGGGAATCCTCCCTAACTCATTTTATGAGGCCAGCATGATCCTAATACCAAAGCCTGGCAGAGACACCACAAAAAAGAGAATTGTAGACCAATATCCCTGATGAACATCGATGCAGAAATCCTCAATAAAATACTGGCAAACCGAATCCAGCAGCACATCAAAAAGCTTATCCACCATGATCAAGTGGGCTTCATCCCTGGGATGCAAGGCTGGTTCAACATACGCAAATCAATAAACATAATCCAGCATATAAACAGAACCAAGGACAAAAACCACATGATTATCTCAATAGATGCAGAAAAGGCCTTTGACAAAATTCAACAACCCTTCATGCTAAAAACTCTCAATAAATTAGGTATTGATGGGACAGATCTCAAAATAATAAGAGCTATTTATGACAAACCCACAGCCAATATCATACTGAATGGACAAAAACTGGAAGCATTCCCTTGGAAAACTGGCACAAGACAGGGATGCCCTCTCTCACCACTCCTATTCAACATAGTGTTGGAAGTTCTGGCCAGGGCAATCAGGCAGGAGAAAGAAATAAAGGGTATTCAATTAGGAAAAGAGGAATTCAAATTGTCCCTGTCTGCAGATGACATGGTTGTATATGTAGAAAACCCCATCGTCTCAGCCCAAAATCTCCTTAAGCTGCTTTCAGCAGCTTCAGCAAACTTCAGCAAAGTCTCAGGATCAATGTGCAAAAATCACAAGCATTCTTATACACCAATAACAGACAAACAGCCAAATCATGAGTGAACTCCCATTCACAATTGCTTCAAAGAGAATACAATACCTAGGAATACAACTTACAAGGGATATGAAGGACCTCTTCAAGGAGAACTACAAACCACTGTTCAACAAAATAAAAGAGGATACAAACAAATGGAAGAACATTCCATGCTCATGGATAGGAAGAATCAATATCGTGAAAATGGTCATACTGCCCAAGGTAATTTATAGATTCAATGCCATCCCCATCAAGCTACAAATGACTTCCTTCAGAGAATTGGAAAAAACTACTTTAAAGTTCATATGGAACCAAAAAAGAGCCCACATTGCCAAGTCAATCCTAAGCCAAAAGAACAAAGCTGGAGGCATCATGCTACCTGACTTCAAACTATACTGCAAGGCTACAGTAACCAAAACAGCATGGTACTGGTACCAAAACAGAGACAGAGACCAATGGAACAGAATGGAGCCCTCAGGAATAATACCACACATTGACAACTATCTGATCTTTGACAAACCTGACAAAAACAAGCAATGGAGAAAGGATTCCCTATTTAACAAATGGTGCTGGGAAAACTGGCTAGCCATATGTAGAAAGCTGACACTGGATCCCTTCCTTACACCTTATACAAAAATTAATTCAAGATGGATTAAAGACTTAAATGTTAGACCTGAAACCATAAAAACCCTAGAAGAAAACCTAGGCAATACCGTTCAGGACATAGGCATGGGCAAGGACTTCATGTCTAAAGCACCAAAAGCAATGGTAACAAAAGCCAAAATTGACAAATGGGATCAAATTAAACTAAAGAGCTTCTGCATAGCAAAATAAACTACCGTCAGTGTGAACAGGCAACCTACAGAATGGGAGAAAAGTTTTCCAATCTACTAATCTGACAAAGGGCTAATATCCAGTATCTACAAAGAACTCAAACAAATTTACAAGAAGAAAACAAACAACCCCATCAACAAGTGGGTGAAGGATATGAACAGACACTTCTCAAAAGAAGACATTTATGCAGCCAACAGACATATGAAAAAATGCTCATCATCCCTGGCCATCAGAGAAATGCAAATCAAAACCACAATGAGATACCATCTCATACCAGTTAAAATGGCGATCATTAAAAAGTCAGGAAACAACAGGTGCTGGAGAGGATGTGGAGAAATACGATCACTTTTACACTGTTGGTGGGACTGTAAAGTAGTTCAACCATTGTGGAAGACAGTGTGGCGATTCCTCAGGGATCTAGAACTAGAAATACTATCTGACCCAGCCATCCCATTACTGGGTATATACCCAAAGGATTATAAATCATGCTGCTATAAAGACACATGCACACATATGTTTATTGCGGCACTATTCACAATAGCAAACACTTGGGACCAATCCAAATGTCCAACAATGATAGACTGGATTAAGAAAATGTGGCACATATACACAATGGAATACTATGCAGCCATAAAAAATGATGAGTTCATGTCCTTTGTAGGGACATGGATGAAGCTGGAAACCATCATTCTCAGCAAACTATCGCAAAGACAGAAAACCAAACACCGCATGTTCTCACTTATAGGTGGGAACTGAACAATGAGAACACTTGGAAACAGGAATGGGAACATCACATGCCAGGGCCTGTTGTGGGTGGAGGGGGGGTGGGGCGGGGAGGCATAGCATTAGGAGATATACCTAATGTAAATGACAAGTTAATGGGTGCAGCACACCAACATGGCACATGTATACATATGTAACAAGCCTGCATGTTGTGCACATGTACCCTAGAACTTAAATTATAATAAAAAATATATATATATAAAAGAAAAAATAGAAAAAAAAAGAAATTAGTTTATCAACATAAATTAGAGAAAAATGTGCCAACTTATTTAGTGTGTGTGGTGCTCAGATGGACTTAATCAATATTGATACTATAGCTGCTTTGTGTGGTCATTAAAGGTTGCCTAGCAACTTTTTTTTAACTTGCAGCACATCACGTATAAGTGGAATTTTAGAACCTAGCATATTTTCAAAATAGTAAAAACTTAAATATCATTGTACAGGCTTATCAAAACTAAATTATTTTATCATTTTTAAACCACGATTCATAATGTTGTAATTTTTTTCTGTATTTATAGTCATATTTACTTAAATGGAGGTATATTTATATTTACTTAAATAGAGAACAATTCAAAATTAATTGTCAAAACTTAATGACCTAATTGAAATCCTTTTATAGACTTCCTAGTATGTACCAAGTTTACTTTATATCAAAAAAACAAAAATATCACAGGCTTTTCAAACTGCATATTTTCTTACTAAAATGCATATTGTAAAGCTTTGGATTTCATAATGATTCGGTTTTACTTTATGGAATTCAATTTCTATTTATTTGATAGGCTGCTACTAAATCACTGCTTATAATTAGAGAAACAAATTTCAGAATCTTTTATACTTAAATATGTAGGTAAATTTCACTTGTAAGGTCCACACCATTTTCTTATAATATACAATATGTTAAAAAGTAGAGTGCTATTTATACTCTTGAAATTAGAATGAGTTAATGAAGGGTAATTTTGGATTTCATTATTGGATATACTTTAAAAAAAGTAAAATTAATTTGCATTTAGTTATAATAAATAATTAGCTGTCATAACCACTAAATTACCTTTTAATAAGGGAAAATTAAAATCAGTGTGTTGCATATACTATAATATTAATATAATCCAAATCCCTACCCATTAAAGTAATTTTCCAAAAAATTTCAAAATAATTTTCAAAATAAAACACTAAAATAATTTTCAGAAGGAAAACAATACTTTTAATATTCAAATATCTGTACTATTTATTGTGCACTATGGATAAATGAAGTCTCTAAAATACAATTCATGAGTTAGACATGTAGCAAAGATTAGTATAATGTTTCTATTTCTTGTTAAAGCAGTTTCTGGAGAATTTTTCCAAGATATTTCCTTTCAGTATACGATATTTCCATTTATTTTCCAAAAATAGCATTATGAAGGCCACGGGCTCATCAGATCAACATGTTCTTCACATTTTATTGGCCAAGGAATATGTGTTAAGAAATTACATTCTCAGGCACTTACAAATAGATCTTTTCTTCTCGGTCTTTTATTACAACATTAACTCAGGCTTATATATTTTTTAATTTCCTTCAGTTTTCTCTTTAGGTTTGATTGTCTGAATTGAGCAAACATAATTTTTTCCAAGTGGGAACAATATGATGTGGGCCCTTGATCAGATTATAAAAATAGATTAGACTGAGAAATTACTGATGAGAGTAATATAGAAGTTAGTTGTTGAGTTGATAAATTAGGGGATTTTTGTAAAAGAGTTATGTAGGTTCTGATTATCCCATTATTACAGTATCAACCTCTTCTCACTCTTGTGAATGTTAGTTACGTAAATTTAGACCTTAAGAAATGCACTCTTCTTTCTCTGTGCAGTTGATATTTTACTAAAGGATACAATTATGTGTTTGTGTATTTCCTGTGTTGATGATGAATTTTTCCTACATAACTGAAGACTCAGTGGGTGTATAATATGTAATAGATGTATTATTGTAAGTAATACAAAATCACAGTGATAGTCCAAGGCTTAGAGGAGGAACATGTATTTTGGTCAGAGAAAAGGTGTATCTGTACTTTAATATGGCCTTCATCTCTAGTTTATTGAATGAATGAAATCATAGTATGCTACAAAACAGCTGAGAAATTGAGCAGAGCTCAGGATTTCAAAAGCAGCTTTGTTTTTGTTAAACTAAACTTGTGAAACACAAGAGACTTGGTTTCTGGTCAAAGCAGTTTTTACTCTCATATTATGAACATTCTGATTTAGAGAATTCCATTCTGTATACTTAATTTCCCAGAGAATCCTAACTGGAAATAATCTGTGTTCTCATCTAGTCATGAAGGTCTGGTATGCAGATGCTGTATTCCATTCTGAAGAAGTTGAAATAGGAGAAAAACTGATTTTATGACTTAGTTGGGCGAATAAAATCTATTATAATATGAAGAATGATACCATATTTTCATATCATTTTTGTAGAAATGACCCAAATTTAGTGACTTAAGTATACTTATCTCTTCCATGTTCTTAAAAACACCAATTATACAACTATTTGTTCTGCGTGTGGGGCATACATAACACATGGACTCAGAAAATATGACATTTGTAATTCACATCTAAAAAAGCATTAAATTCTTCTTTCTTGGACCATAATGAAAAAAAATGAAATAATTGACAGAATAGGTACTTTCCTCCACCCCAAAGGCAGAAAAATTTCTGCAGTGCTATTTTTTTCTCTATCCGTGTTTGGCAGAATAAAACCCATTGTGCATATGACTTAACATAAAGTAGAGCACTTATTTACTGTTATTTAATGACATATTTTTTTCTTTTGAAAATTCTCCTAAAATAATCTATTCAAAATGCTTGCAACTTAAGGGAATGGGGGTATAGGAAAAGAAATGGAAGGGGAAGTAAAAATTGAATGGGTAAAAATAATACAGATTCATACCATCTTACAATTACTAGTAAAATTTATTTGAAAACACCATATCTGTTGTATAAAAAAGAAAATAAGACTTTTTTTATTAAGAGTAAATGCAGAGCCATTTTACCACTTTAAAAACTGACATCACTTGAGTTGAACAGAAATTTGGTCTGACTTATCTTAACTGTGTAGATCAAGCAGATAATAAGCAGAGATTTCATACTGAGGGAAATACATTGTCAATTCTTTTTAGTATATCTCTTAATGTCCAAGAAATCTGTAGATGTGTTATTAGGTCATTATATTTTTTGCTTTAATTTTATATGTTTATAATATCATTTTGATGAAACTTTACTTTCAGCTAAAATATGATGACATTTTTATTTCTTTCTTTTTTCAGTACATTAAGCTTACAGTATATGACTTCAGAGTAAGCATTAATGTGTAGAGATAACATCTGTTCTCAATAGGTAACTGACATATAAAAGAAGAAAAAATGTGATTTAATGATGCAATTTCAGTATTTGTAATGTAACATACAGTTTAAAAAGAAGATAAAATTGACAAAAAATGTAAACCTAAAAGCTCATGGACAAAATTACTTTTTATGTTAGATTCCATGTTTTACCATATTTTAACATTGTGATTATCCAATGCTTCCTTATCCTCCCCCCAAAATATACTATGGAATAAAAGGAAAATTTGAGAATTTGATTTCAGATTCTGTAAATAGCATGGCATGTCTGTGCCTATTTTAATATGACAAAGAAAATGAAACACTTTTTCTTCATATTTTGTATTAATTTACTCATAGACATTGAAGTATGCTTTACCCATCTGAACCTTTATATCTGCTATATAAAATATGGTATTTATGATCACAAAAATAGATTATGCATCTGGAAAGTATACCCCAAAATACTTTATTTCATAGAGCAGAGTCCCTTATGTTAAAATTTGTTATTTCTGGATCACATTCTTTTTTTATTTCAGGATATTCTGAGAAACATTAAAATTAATAACCCAATTTCAAAAACACCCCTATTATAATAAAAGAGAAAGGAAGATGTGTGTGTATGGGTATACATATTTATGTATGTATGAATATATAAAATATATAAAGAGAGTACAGTAGCCCTCCATATCCATGGGTTCTGCATCCATGGATTCAACCAATCCTGAATCAAAAATACTTCGGGACCAAAAAATTGGATGGTTATGTCTGCACTGAACTTGCACAGACATTTTTCTTGTCATTATTTTCTAAACAATATGATATAAAAACTATTTACATAACATTTACATTATATTGGGTATTATAAGTAGTGATAATTTAAAATATAAGGGAGAATGTGCGTAAGTTGTATGCAAATGTTATGCCATTTTATATCTGTGACTTGAGATTCTGTGGACTTTGTTATCCTTGGAAGTCCTGAACCAATCCCTCATGGATACTAAGGGATGACTGTAAATAGTTAGTATAGATTAATTTGATACTTATCTTTACCAATCCAAAGATTCTTATTCATACCTTTTCATACATGACAGATCAGTTTCTTGATTTGATCTCAATAAATAGTTGTGGATGTAATGAATGATTAATAACTGATGTGGCCATCTAACTCCAATCTACTTACTTTCTGATAGTCTTGGAATTTTTTAGAATACAACAGTATATTGTTAAGAAACTGTATCTTTCTTTTCCCCTACACTGTATCCATGTTACATAATCAAGTACCTGAGACATTCTACGGCCCTTAAGATGCCTCACAGCTCATGTTCAGTCTTGGCCCTCACTATACTGACTATATGGGCAAATAGTTTATTGCTTCATTCTAGAAATAGTTCTACTTTAAAAATTTGGCCAAATTTTCATTTTTATTTTATTTTTATTTTTATTTTTATGGGTACATAGTAGGTGCATATACTTATGGGGTACATGAGATATTTTGATACCAACATACAATGTGTAATAATCACATCAAGGTAAATGGGGTATCTATGACCTCAAGCATTTATCCTTTCTTTGTGATATGAACATTCCAATTATACTCTTTTTGTTATTTTTAAAAGTATCATAAACTATATTTGACCATAATCACTCTGTTGTGCTATTAAATACAAGATCTCATTCATATCGTCTAACTATATTTGTGTACCAATTAACCATCCCCACTTCTCCCACTTTCCACTAACCTTTCCAGCCTCTGGTAACTGTCAATCAACTCTTTAACTCTTTATCTCAATTGTTTTAATTTTTAGCTCCTACAAGTGAGTAAAAACATGCAAAGTTTGTCTTTCTGTGCCTGGCTTATTTCACTTAACAAAAGGTCCTCCAGTTCCATCCATGTTGTTGCAAATGACAGGATCTCACCTTTTTTTTTTTTTCTTATGGCTGCATAATACATTGTGTATCTATACTACATTTTCTTTATCCATTCATCTGCTGATGAGCAATTAGGTTGATTCCAAACCTCAGCTATTATGAATAGTGCTGCAATAAACATGGGAATGCAGATATCCCTTTGATATACTGATTTCCTTTCTTTCAGGTATATACCTCGCAGTGGGATTGTTGGATCATACAGTAGTTCTATTTTTAGTTTTTTGAGGAACCTCCATAATGTTATACTCCGTAGTGGCTGTACTAATTTACATTCCCACCAACAGTGTACAAGGGTTCTCTTTACTTCACATCCTTGCTGACATTTTTTATTATCTGCTTTTCAGATAGCCATTTTAACTAGAGTGAGATGATATCCTATTTTAGTTTTGATTTTCATTTCTCTGATGATCAGTAATGTTGAGTACTTTTTCATATACACGTTTACCATTTTTATATCTTCTTTTGAAAAATATCTATTCAGATATTTATCCATTTTTGAATTTGATTATTTGATTTTTTTTTCCTATTGAATGTTTTAAGCTCCTTATATATTCTGGTTATGAATCCTTTGCCATAAGGATGGTCAAATTTTCAAAATACTGTTTACATTTTCCGGAATATGGAGGTAAAAGTTATCATGATGAGTTAAAGATCAAAAAGCCCTCAAATTCTAATGTAATATTTGGTAAAGACAAATTGTTGTCAATGTTTTTCAAAGGCTTACGCAAGGTGTGACATCTTTGGAGGAAACCAAGCAAACCATCAAGTCCACCTGTAAATGAGGAAAAGGATGTTATGATGGGAAAGACGGGAAGGAGTACTGAGAGCCACCTGAATCATTAGAAATGTTGGCATTGACTTTATATAAGCACGATGAATGAATTTTTGCCCTCTACAAGCTTCTGATGCGTATCTCAAAAATATGTTCTAGTGTGTTATTTTAGGGAGTGTGTGTGTGTGTGTGTGTGTGTGTGTGTATGCATGTGTACATCTGCATGCATGTGTGTTTCCCTAAGTTTATATAACTTTGTATTTATACTATTAATAGTCTGTCTTGAAAATAATCTAATCTTCAAGGAGAATCACAAAATATACACAACTCACCTTACTTTTACACTTCGCAATCACAAGCAACTCTTCAAGGACACCAAGTGTCAGGACCAATCATGTTAACTATGTTTCAACGGTTACATGAAGAAGCTTTGGAAATAATAAATGAGAGATAAAGACAATTGAGAAATACAAGTTATGAAAATAAAATAGCAACCATATAGAATTTAAGGATTTAGATGTTTGTTGAGACAGTTGTGCTCTGATCATTCTTTGGTTTAAGCAGCATTAATGATGCTTGCTAAGAATTATAAATTTAGAAGTTAATGTGGTATATAGCAGACATTATATTTTTAAACAAGGTAAATGAAAAACAAAGATGAATATATCCATTTTTACTAGTAAACACATCTTCACATACAAGAAAATATGGAATGCAATTACCCCAGTAACAATATCTGTGCAGATGTAATTTGGGTCATTGGCCTATCATTTCCACAGAATGCATGTCAAATTGTATAAATAAATCAGTTTTAATAAAAATGAACTTATTAAACATATAAAACTTTTATTCAATTAGAAATATTATAAATATACTATGTTTTCAGTGAAAATTTTCTGCTTTATATATGATTAAAAGGAAACGACTATCCCATTCCCTAGCCCCTGCAAAGTACCTAGCCAGGCCCTATCATGTATCAGGCACCACGAGAAGTTATTGGGAAGTGTGTTGGGCCACAGTAAAGGAGGAGATGTAGAATGAACAAAGATAATGACAATTAAAATAAGAAATATGAATTGGTATGAGAAACATTTAATCTAAACAATAGAGGTTATCTGAAAGGTCATGGAAATATATTGATGTGGAACATAAAGAATAAAGAGATGTCCAGGTTAAATTTTAGTTTTCTGGCTTTGTGTCAGAACAGACGTGATACCAAAATAGGGAACACTAGTAATTAGGCCAATTTGGGGGGATTTGGGGCAGAGAGGATGTTTTTTTTCCAATTTGGATATATTTATATACCCTGGAGACATCAAGAAGGCAGATAGATTTATAAATCTGGAGCGCAAAGGGAAAATCTGGGCTAGAGTTAGAATTAGGACAAATCTTTGAAGACTTATTCATTGAAGTCATAGATATATATGAGAAAGTCTAGAGATTATACTGAAAAAGTGGAAAAAAAAGACCTATAACTTATTCTAAGACAAGCTAACAATAAGGTTTAACACTCTTATCAGTTAAGATCAGGTTTGAAAAATATACAGGTGGAATAATTTATATGGAGGCCATAGATAAACAGAGAGCGTACTGTTTTGGTGAAGCCAGTTGCAGTAGGGGGGACATTATTCTTTTATATTGATGTTTTCCTCTGGTCACAGTGTCTGTCCACATGTATGCTATGCAGCCAGTGTCTTCCTCCCCTCTTCATTCACCTATGCTCACTTATTCAGGAAAACCATCTGTGAACTCACTGCCTTGCTCACAACCCCACATTACCTTTAGCACAATTTATCATTTCTCAATTTATTTGAGTTTTCTGAAAACTATTAAGTCTCTTTTCCTAGAATTTAATCTCCATGAGAGCAGGACAATACCCATTTCAGCAATTCATTTGAATCCCTAGTACCTACCATATTTGAGGATATTGCAGGTTTTCCAAAATATTTGTTAAGGAAAAGATAGGAGAGAGGAAAGAAAGATGAAAGGAGTGGAGGGAGGAAAAAAGATGGCAGAGTTGAACCCATAACGTACATGGAGGTGTATTACCAAGGGACGAAATGAAGAACAAGAAGCCAGGGGCAATTAATAGATTTTCAGACAAAAAATGAATAGATCATGTAACTCCTATACAGAAAAAAGTGCTTCAAAAATTAAGTACAAAATACATGGACTAAGTGAACAATTCTTATACAACTTGATGAATTACACAACTTGAAACTCACACATGTACACACACACATATCCAAGTAACCACTACTGAAATAAAAATATAGAACTTTTTTTTTGAGATGGAGTCTCACTCCCTTGCCCAGGCTGGAGTGCAGTGAGGCAGTGTTGGCTTACTTCAACCTCCGCCACCCGGTTTCAAGCGATTCTCCTGCCTCAGTCTCCTGAGTAGCTGGGATCACAGGCACCTGCCACCATGCCCAGCTAATTTTTTGTATTTTTAGTAGAGACGGGGTTTCACCATGTTGGCCAGGCTGGTCTCAAACTCCTGACCTCATGATCAGCCTGCCTTGGCCTCCCAAAGTGCTGGGATTACAGGCGTGAGCCACTGCACCTGGCCAAAATACAGAACGTTTATGGAAACTCCAGCGATTCTTTCATGCCAGTCTCCAGACACTAGCCCCACAAATAGAACCGAGATTCTGACTTTTATCACTATATTTAGTTCTTTTCTTGAAATTCATGTAACTGGAAACATGCAGTATGTACTTTAGGGGTCTGGCTTTTACCCAACACTGTAACTACTATATTCCTTCTTATGTTTTAATGATTGTTTCTCTTCTGAAAAAGATAATTATAAATTTTAGAACATACCTTCAGAAATACTAAATAATAATTTTTACAAAAATAATCTCTTAAACCAAAAAGGTAAACAGAAATGTTAGCTAATGCTAAGAGAGTTTACATTTTGTAATCTACTGAGGGAAAACTAATCTTAACTTTGGCTACATATTAACAAATATTTAGTATTTTCTCATATATATTATTTCTACTTAAACAATGCTTAATTAATTAGAAATCCTATAAATGTTATTTATTTCCTTTGTAATATTAAGGTATTAGGAGTTTAGCAAAGCCACATTAATTTTTTTGATAAGTGAAATTTAATATTCAGCAGCATTTTTTATTGACTTTTTTAAAAGAGACATTTTTTGGAGTAGTTTTAGGTTCACAGTGAAATTGAGCAGAAAATGCAGAGTCCCCATACATTCCCTGGCCCCCCACACACCCACTTCTACTAATCAACACTCTCATTAATGTTTTAAACATACAATAAAATTTACCAATTTCAAATGTACGATTTAGTGAGTTTTGATGGGTTTAGATGATCATCTATGCGCCAATACAATCATGTCCTGAAACATGTCCATCACTCTGAAAGTTGCCTTATACCTTTTGCAGTCGCTTTCCTCATCTCATCTCTGGCTACTGCTCGCCACTCATCTGCTGTATGAATCTCAAACTTTGCATTTTCAAGAACGTCATAAGAAAGGGATCATAGAGAATATATTCTGTTGTGGCTGTCTTCTTTTACTAAAAAAAAGCTTTGAAGAGCTGGGCACGGTGGCTCATGCCTGTAATTCCAGCACTTTGGGAGGCTGAGGTGGGCGGATCACGAGGTCAAGAGATCGAGACCATCCTGGCCAATGTGGTGAAATCCCATCTCTACTAAAAATACAAAAATTAGCCGGGCGTGGTGGCGCACGCCTGTAGTTCCAGCTGCTCAAGAGGCTGAGGCAGGAGAATTACTTGAACCCGGGAGGCAGAGGTTGCAATGAGCTGAGATCGCGCCATTGCACTCCAGCCCGGCAACAGACCAGACTCTGTCTCGTCACAAAAAAAAAAAAAAAAGGTTTGAAGAATCATTCTTGTTGCATGTAAGCTGTTCTTATTATTGCTAAGTAGTGCCTCATTTTATGAATATATCATAATTTATTTATTCATCAGTTGATGGAAATTTGTTTTGTTTTTTAGTTATTCCCTACTAAGAATAAAGCTGCCTTTTTTGTTTATTAAGAATAAAGTTGAATACAAGTCTTTATGGAAATGCATGTTTTCATTTCTTTTGGATAAATATCTAGCACTGAGATTCCCTGGGTATGAGGCAATCTGTGTTTACTTTTATGGGAAACTGCTGACTTGTTTTCCAAAGCAGTTATACAATTTTGTATTTTCACAAATAATACAGGTAAATTTCACATCTTCATAAACACTTGGTGTTATTAGCATTTTAGTGTTATCCATAGTGTATTAGTAGCTCATTTTGTTTTCATTTTTATTTCTCTCATGAGTAATGATGGTGACCATCTTTTCATATGCTCATTTGCCATTACTATATGGGAATTATTCCTTTTATTGTTCTTTATGCAAGTGGCAGATAATTGCCTTTTCTACAAACCAGCGGTTTCTGGCAACCCTGCGTTAAGCAACGTTTGGCACCATTTTTCCAACACCATGTTCTCACTTCATGTCTCTGTGTCACACTTTGGTAATTCTTGAATTATTTTAAAGTTTTTCCCTATTATTATAGTTGTTTTGTTGATCTGTGATCAGTAATCTTTGATGTTACTATTGTAGTTGTTTTGGGACATCACAAACTATGCCCATATAAGACGGCAAAGTTAATAGATAAATGTTGGTGTGTTCTGACTGCTCCACCGACCAGCCATTTATCGATGTCTGTCCCTTTCCTCAGACCTCCTTATTCCCTGAGACACAACAGTATTGATATTAGGCCAATTAATAGCCTGACGATGGCCTCTAAGTGTTCAAGTGGAAGAAGGGTCACACATCTTTCACTTTAAATAAAAAGCTATAAATAATTTAAAAAGCCAAGGTAGGCCAAAAGCAAGGCCTCTTGCACCAAGCAGTTCACCAAGTTGTGAATGCAAATTAAAAGTTCTGGAAGGAAATTAAAAGTGCTACTCTAGAGAATACACAAATGATAAGAAAGCAAAACAGACTAATTGCTAATAAAGAGACATTTTTAGTGGTCTGGATAGAAGATCAAACCAGCCACAACATTCCTTAAACCAAATCCTAATCCAGAGCAAGGCCCTAACTCTCTTCAATTCTATAAAGGCTGAGAGAGATGAGGAGGCTGAAGAAGAAATGTTTAAAGCTAGTAGAGGTTGGTTTACAAGGTTTCAGAAAAGATGCCATCTCCATAACTTACAAGTGTAAGGTGAAGCAGCAAGTGCTGACGTAAAAGCTGCAGCAAGTTATCCATGTCTAGCTAAGATCACTGACAAAGGTAACTAGACTAAACAACAGATTTTCAATGCAGATGAAAAAACTGTCTAATGGAAGAAGATGCCTAGGACTTTAATAGCTGGAGAAATGTCGATGCCTGGCTTAGAAAGGATTCACCATTTTACATGTCATTAAGAACATTTGTAGTTCATGGGAGGAGGTTAAAATATCATTAGCTGGAGTTTGGAAGAAATTGATGCCAACCCTCATGAATCACTTTGAAGTGTTGAAGACTTCCGTGGAGCAAGTCATGGCATATGTGGTACAAATAACAAGAGAAGTAGAATTAGAAGTAGAGCCTGAAGTTGTGTCTAAATTATTGCAATCTCATGTTAAAACTCCAATGGATAAGGAGTTGCTTCTTATGGGTGTATAAGAAAGTGGTTTCTTGAGTATAAATCTACTCCTGGTGACAATGCTGTGATCATTGTAAAAATGACAAAGGATTTAGAATATTACATATACTTAGTTGTAAAGCAGTGGCAGGATTTGAAAGGATTGACTCCAATTTTGAAAGAAGTTCTACTGTGTGTAAAGTGCTATCAAACAGCTTTGCATGGTACAGAGAAATTTTTTGTGAATGAAAGAGCCAATCAGTGTGGCAAATTTTATTGTTTTCTTATTTTCAGTAACTTCTCCAGCCATCTCAACCTTTAGCAACCACCACCTTAATGAGTCAGCAGCTATCAACATGGAGGCAAGACCTCCTACCAACAAAAAGATTATGATTCACTTAAGGCTCAAATGATTGCTAGCATTTTTAAATAATACAATATTTTTAAATTAAAGTATGTTCATTTTTTTGGACATAATGCTGTTGCACACTTAATAGACTACAGTATAGTGTAAACATAACTTTTATATGCACTGGGAAAACAAAGAGCTCCTGTGACTTGCTCTATTGAGATATTTGCTCTATTGCAGTGGTTTGGAACTGAACTCTCAATATTTCTGAGGTATACCTGTATATTCTTTGGTATAGTGTCTATTTAAATATTTTAGACACTGTTTAAATAGTATTATTATTAATGTGTTGTAGATGTTCTTTACGTATTCTGGATAAAGTGTTTTTCCAGAATGTGTTTTCAAAATATTTTATTTCAGTGTGTGCCTTGCCTTATTGTTTCCCTAACACTGTTTCTCAAAGTGATGTTTTGAATTTTGAGTAAATCTAAGGATTCTACTTAATGCTGAGTGTGCTAAGAAGGCTTCCCACTCTAGATAATGGAAACATGAACCGTAATCCTTGAGCTCCAGATATTTTTCTGCCTATTCTTTTTTAAAATAGTTCTTTCTCCTTCGTTTTGTAGTCTACTCTCACGCCTGAGTAGATCAGTGGTCAGCCAAAGACTTGAGGACAGAGCACACTGCAAACAAACAGAGGCCTCTCTCTTGCCCTGTGTATCTCTCTCTTTTCCGTGACTCTAACCAACAAAAGTGCATCTCTGTCTTTTTCGTGACTCTAACCAGCAAAGTCTAGCTGCATTGGCCTTTTGGAACTTAGTCCTATATCCTCAACTCAGTAAAAATTTTGTTCAATTCTTGGGTCTTCTCTCCTTCTCTGCACTGCACTCTGGATACCGCTCCCAAGCAACACCTTGGTGCAATTGTAGGGCTCACCTTATTAATTGCTCTTCTCTGAGAGATCACAGTTCTGCTCTACCTTTTGTTGAATGCCTGTCAACCATTTTGTGTGTGTGTATTTTGTGTTTGTTTTTCTGTTTGTTTAAGTGGAAGGGTAAATCTGGCCCTTACTTGTTATGCAACATTAGCTGGAAACACTAATGTTTATCTTCATAATATTGAAAGTATTGTCAAAAATCCATACTGAGTATACGGACAAACATTTCCATTTGAACAAATTGCAGTGCCAGGAATAACCATATTCTGATATAATAAATATTTTGCATAAGTATTAATGTATTTTTTGTAAAGTCAGATTACTTCTTTCTTTAAATAATGTCTATATGAATATTACAAATTTTCTTTTTTTTTTTTCCCCGAAACAAAGTGTCACTCAGTTGCCCAGACTGGAGTGCAGTGGTGTGATAATAGCTCACTGCAAAGCCTCAGTCTCCTGGGATCAAGTGATCCTCGCATCTCAGCCTCCTAAGTAGCTAGGAATACAGGTGCATGCCACCACACGTGACTGTTTTGTTTGTTTGTTTTGTTTTGTTTTTCATAGAAATGAAGTCTTATTATGTTCCTCAGGCTTGTTTTACACTCCTGAGCTCCTCTCCCCTCGGCCTTCCAAGGTGCTGAGATTACAGGAGTAAGCCCCTGTGCCCAGTCACAATTTTTCTATTTGTATCATGAGTTAGCCCTCCTCTCCCCATCCATACTGCTAATTTTATATTGACATCTCCACTTGGCTTTCTCATAGCACCTCAGCTATTTCTCAAAGCCAGTTTATCCTCACCAGACACATTTCCCTTAGAGAGTCAGCATTTGGCAGAATTTGAAGTAGGATTCCATAGTCACTCAGTATTTAGTTTTAGAAACTGGCTGAATTAAATTACCTTTAAGTTTTCTAGCTGCCTAGCTCAGTTATATGCAATTTAATGCAGTCATAGGCAATTTAATCAATTTGCATTCATTAATTTTCCATATGGTCCACCCTACAAATCTTTCTAAAAATTGTATTGGATTATAATCACCCTATGAGTAGACCTTCCAGTGTTTTCAGTTGCCAACAGGACAAAGTTTAAACTCCTATACATGGAATCCAATACACTCACAATTCAACTACCATTTATAATTCTATTTTCACCACTTTCTGCCTCTACTCCTCAAGAGTAATTATAACCTGATGGTCAAGTTTGTGGGCGTCTGAGTTCAGATATATGTATTCCTTTGCTATTCATTCATGCAAAATTTACTAAAATGCTCTAATTCTTAGTTTGAGCATTTGGAACACTCTGGTCTATGAATGTTAGTGGTAACAGTAGTGCCTACATGGTATGCTTGTGAGAATTAAATGAAAGTGTACATTTCAAAGCATACTTGGTAAATGCTCATTAAATACTCATTAGTTGTATTATTCACTCATAACTAGCTCTTAAAATTTCAAAAATACACTAAGCACAATCAGGAGGCCATAATTTTGCTCACATAGTTTGCACAGCCTATAGTGTTCTTTGCCATTCATGTGCTTGCTGAAACTTTTGTCACCATTCAAGGCCTGGCACAAAATCCCTCATCTCTATAATTCCTTACCCACTGTCTACAGGTAGAATTATTATTTTCTTCCTTTGCATTCTCATAACTCAATGCGTATTCCTCAATTTTAAGAATACTATTAGCAACTAATCGTTTATACACGTAATTGCCAACCATAGCAAATAGTGTGTTTGTTCAAGAGATGTGGAAAATTTACAATTGAAGCAAGTCTATTGAAAAATTTGTACACACAAACACACGTGTGCACACGAGTATAAGGTTCTCTTTATTCCTGCATTTGTAGATATCTTATTTTCCCTGAAATGTTCATTTACTTGAAAAATATAATTAGAAGGCCTATATTCCTTCTGAATTATTTTTAATTTCTTCAATTTTCATTTAGTTCATTTGAACATAGAGTTTCTTGTGTTCATGGCCTTCATCGTGTAGATGTTAAATAAACAATCACAAAAATATGATTGTAACCTTTAATAGTAAAGTAAAAAAATTCTATAGTGGCAAGTGTGGTGGCTCACACCTGTAAACCCAGCACTTTGGGAGCCCAAGGCAGGCAGATCACCTGAGCTCGGGAGTTCGAGACCAACCTGACCAACATGGAGAAACCCCATCTCTACTAAAAATACCAAATTAGCCAGGCATGGTGCTGCATGACTGTAATCCCAGTTACTCGGGAGGCTGAGGCAGGAGAATCACTTGAATCCAGGAGGCGAAGCTTGCGGTGAGCCAAGATCGTGCCATTGCACTCCAGCCTGGGCAACAAGGGTGAAACTCCGTCAAAAAAAAAAAAATTAGTGACAAGGAACAAACGAATCTGACTTGATAATTTAGGAAAGGCTTCACTGAGTTGAGATGACATGTGAAGAATGAGTAGAAAGTAATTGGTTTGGAGGTGAGAAGGCAGGGTGGGTAAAGATTCTAAAGCGTGAGGGGCATAAACTCCTAAAAGCAGCACCAGAAGATTTTAGTTAAAAAAGGTGGTCAGCAGTCATAGTGCTGATTTCAAAGTCTGAAAGGTGGAACATCCTGGGGTATGTAGCTAACACGACCGGATTTCTAGCTTTAAAAATCACTTTAACAGAAAGCAGTGTGGAGACTACACTAAAGGACAACTACAGTGAATGTGATAATAAAGAGGCTATTTCAGTCATCCAGGTTTGAGATGACGAAGGCTGAAGGCTTAGATAGATACTGTTCGGGCAGAAGTAGAGACAGAGGGGATCAAGAACTGTTCAGGAAGTATTATCCACAGGACCTGCTGATAGAATGAATGTGGGATGGAAAAGAATAAAAGGGAAATAACGCCTCCTAGGTTTCAGGCAACTAGATTTATGAACTAGTGTAAGAATCAGAATGTTGACAACTTGCTTGTGATTTATTTTTTAATTTAGAAAAAAATTATCTTAATGACTTGGAGTTTAATGGTATTTTCTAAAAGGTGGAAAACCTAATCTTACTCTGAAATATTCTTTGAAGATTGATAAAACAAACATACAGAGAACAACTTGGAAACAATATTTAAATCTCCAATATTTCACACATAAGAAATGCTTAATAAGTGGTACTAGATGAATTTCTTAGTTGGATACACTCTCATGCTAACAGCCGGAACAAGGGAGAGTACAGAGTATGTGCATACCATATGGTTGATGTTGTGGCAAATCATGTCTACATGAAGTGTAGCAGAAACTTTACTTGTTAAATTATTCCACTGATATGCTTGAAAAGCTAATTTTGAGGAATCCATTTATCTGTTTTTCTTTGTTTTGCTTTGTACATGGAAATATAACCATCACCAAGATTAAGCCTATCAGAAGAATTGTAATTTCCCTTTCACATACCAAATATTTTTATGGAGGATTATTACTAATTACTATTTTGTTTTTATGCATCATTATATTTTCAGTGAGAAATGTAAATATTTTCTCCAAAAATATAAATCTATCAAATATGTAAATAAATGCCTCAGAGTATATATATTAAAAGGTATATATGTATACTTTGATGTATTTGATGTACATATAGTTATTTTGATTTTTTTTTTTTTTTTCCGAGATGGAGTTTCGCTCTTATTGCCCAGGCTGGAGTGCAATGGTGTGATCTCGGCTCACTCCCACCTCTGCCTCCTGGGTTCAAGCCATTCTCCTGCCCCAGCCTCCTGAGTAGCTGGGATTACAGGCGTATACCACCACCCCCAGCTAATTTTTTGTATTTTTAGTAGAGATGGGGTTTCATGATGTTGGCCAGGCTGGTCTCGAACTCCTGACCTCAGGTGATCCACCTGCCTCGGCCTCCCAAAGTGCTGGGATTACAGGCGTGAGCCACTGTGCCAAGGCTTTTGATGCATTTTCATCAGAAATGTTGAAACAATTACAAATTTATTAATAGCATAGTTAACCTGACACAAATATTTCCAAAGTATTTATATCTATATCCATCTAGATAAATTCATTCTGAATTTAGTATGATTCTATGGCTAAACTAAGTTCAAAATTACTAGAGTTGAAAAATATCTTTTAATTACATGCTATAATCAATCAAGAAATAGAGATATCTTTGAATTATTAATCTATTCTAATGTATTATTTTAAAATCTACCCAGGAAAATGTCACCTTCTCAAATTTCCTCTTAAGAGCATTGAGATTCATAGTTTATAATAATCTCATGTTCAGAAATTGTAAAAGTATATTAACTATTTCTTTTTCTTTATAGGAGTTAAATAGTCTCATCATAAATATCACTACATCACAGTATGGTAATTTTACAAAATATCCTTTTTGGGCAAAGCTAAAATTCATTAAATTTTCTTTCTAAAGTGATGTTTTTTAATCCTCCCTGACTGTTTTTTTTCTAAAGTGACTTCAAATCTTCTATGTGATGATTTGAGGATTATAATTTTTCCCCAAATTAATGTATTGAATAAAATGGTTTTATGAGCTTGAAATTTTTTTTAGGATTACTCATCATTAATATGTTCCTTAAAGATGCTATATGTATGAATGATCATGTTAAAGCTTTGAAAACTGTTTTTGGAATTGAGAAAATGAAACACCGTTTAGCTCTACTTCACAGAATTCTTCTTACTGTACTTATCAAGGAAAAAACGAAATTTAAGCAGAATCTCAGAATGTTTTGCCCTTATAGTTAATTGTATAAGTGGAACCCAAATGCCCCAATCAAAATAACCACACTTATATTCTTCAACTCCATACTTCATGTGCTCAGAACCACAATGATGGGGGAAAGTTTTGCAAACATTCTTTAAGTCACCATACCCTTTCCACAGTTCTTGCCAAACTTCTACACAGTAGGAACTATGAAAATGAGTGCCAAACCCTCACGTTCCTGATATAGCTTCCAACAGCTGCAAACCCTTAAGCTTCAAGTGCAGCTGCCTTGAACAGAAATATTGAAAGGACCCACAAAGGCAGATACACAGATTACATATGTTCAATAACTTTCTAGCAATAATAAGAATATGTGGTCATATTAAGGCCATTAGACAGGAGGGAAATTGCACAAGCAGTCTCTAATTGACCCTGCAAAGAGAGTCTGATCTCCCTTATTGTGCCTCTATTAGTCCCCAATTCATCTACTTTTGTTAGGATTATACATCTTTTCAACACACAAACCCACACCAAATAGAGGGCAATTACATTGATTCAGTTAGTGCCCATGCTCTGATTTGTAATTTTCCAAGGGCACACCATTTGAACAGTTAATTCCTGAAAAGCCTAAAGCAATTCCTGGCACTAAATTATTACTACAGATGCAATATATGGGATATATATATACCAAATTGGAGAATGGAACCTACCACAGACATCTGAGCTATAACATATAAAAACAAAGAGCAAATTCAAGTAAAACCTCACTTCTGATGAAAATAACCTAAAACATGTTTTTGTTCCAATTTTTCAAAACTAGATTTGGCCATGCAGTTCTCTTGTTCCCATCGGTGATTAAAACAAGTTCACTTAATACTTAAAACTTTGTCCCTCTTCTTTTAAGGAGTGTTAGAAAACTACATTGGCAAATTGGTCTTTTATTCTTCAAGCTTCTAAATTTTTTCAGTTGAATGAACAATGTTAAGAAGGTCCATGTGAAGATAGAACTGGAATTTAAGGATTTGTGTTCTTGTATGGTTGCGGCTTTTCTAAATCCACATCTCTGTCATTTTACTACCATTATATTCATTTATGCCTAATCTCTGTGCCAAACTTCCTATTTCTTCAAATATTTATTCTTAGCTGCAAAGGAATAATCCTGGAGTATTATAAGTAAAGTCTGAGGGTAACTTTAACATTTCTTTAAGCTCTTGGGCATCATAAATTTCAATCTATAAAACATTAAGAGTATTACCATTTTAATAATCAACTCTTATTGTCTATCCTAATGCCAGAGTGGGATGATGCAAAAATTTGGGAGGAATGTAATTCTAAACAATTAATTAATTTATGGTTTAACTTCCTCCTCAACCTACACTTTGGTTATAGTTAAAATGATATGGAAGCACACAGATTTGCATTACTCTAGTTATCTTAATGGGTTTCTTTTTCTCTTCTGTATTACATAAGAACATAATTTGTATTCATTTCATATGTACTGACCCATTATTGGGATATATGGAACATTTTCCACTATTTTATTTATATATATATATATGCATGTATATACACATATTTTATTATATATATACACATATACTCAGTATATGCACATACTTATACAGGTATATGTGTATAGAGATATGTGTGTATATATATGTATAAGTGTGTAGAACATTATGATAAAAATATTTATGTGTAGGCTTTTGTTAAACTGTGGATAACATAAAGCTTTTGTCAGACCTTTGATAAGACTTTCTGTCCCTGACCAGTGGGGTTTATCATTCAACTTGTATTTGTAATGTTCTCCTCCTAGATATAGCACTGCTCTCTGAAATTTATTGTTGAGAAACATTTCTTGCAAGGCAATTATGTATGCTTTTGTTCTTTCTTTGAGAATGCTTTGGGGCTACATGTAGATCAAGACGAACATGTGCCAACTCTCTTTCCCACACCAAGTGGAGTGAAAAGTATGACCTCAAACCCCAGCTGCACAAAGCATTTAAGGATCTAGGGAGATTCTTTATCAAGGAGTTTCCAATAATCAAGAATGCAAGCTTGCTTCATTGAGATCTCAACACAATGATCCCTCCCTCCAAAGCCTTTTTATGTTAAATTGAATTTGAATCCATTCCTTGGTGAACTTTAATCTTGAGCTAATTATGACTCAATGCTCCTCTGGCTCAGTAGTCTTCTGCGGCTTGGGATATGTTTTGAAACACTGCCAGATGAATGCAATGATGGATTGTTAGCCAAATAGCACACTGGAAGATGAGAACTACCTGTCTTCTTTGAGTATGACTTTATTTTCTCATAAGATGCCTGCTTTAAGGGATGGAAAATATAGAAGTATATGTAGACATGGATCTCTGTGCATTTTTTGTGCATTTATGTATATATTACACATGCATCAACAAAAATGTGCTAGGCACAGTAAAACATAGTTTCAACATTTTTCTTGCCAGGTCTTTGGGAATTTATTGGCATATGGCATAAAAATAACAATGAATTATTGTTAAAAATAAATAAAATTTATTAATGCTGTGTGCCAGACACTCCTAATTTCTTCATGTTAATCCTCATATCAATGCTATGAATTGACACTATTTAATTCTGTTTTGCAGGTGAGTTAACTGAGTCTTAAGGAGTTTAAGTTACTTGTCCAAAGTCATCTGGTAAGCTAGGATTCAAACCCAGGCAATCTGCATAATATTCCTTCCTAACCACAACACTGATCTAGTTCTGCAGCAAAAATAACTTCAAGTCTAGGGAAGGTGTTGGCATGATATAGATAACCATGTTATTCTTAGAAAAATTATATTTAAGTTAGACTTCCTGAAGGAAATTGAGAAATAGTACATAATTTTTTCATACTTCAACCTAGACAGACTATTTTACAAGATTACAAGACATGCTACTTTACTTAGTAAAGTGTACGTGTATGCATGAAGATATATATGTAATTGGAATATGTATCAATCTCTCATAGCCCTACTTGAGGATGTTTCTTTCTGATGAATTCTTCTGTTGGAACCTAGGTTTGTGTGCCTGTACTGATAACAAGGCATTCCTGGCATTCTGGTTCCTCCTCCTTCAGCACATTTCTCCCACAGGCTCATAGAACACTGTCCTACTGTATGTAGATAAAATGGAGGTTGTGAAATGCAGTTCATGTTTTCATTCTTGCTTTGACTGAACATCTGCTCACCCAAGACCAGCTTTTTTTAGTTCCATCTACTCATTACTATGGTTACCATAGTATATACTCTATTTTAGGCCTGTATCTATTGGCGTGTGGCCATTCTCTCTGGGGGGAAAAAAGAAGAAGTTTTCCAGAGCCAAACTGGCCTTCTATTCAGTAAATATGGTAATTTTTGCCTATGCTAAGTTTCCGACCCTCCCCTCTCCTTTTATGTTTGGTGTTCTTCTGTTTAGAAAAGGATCTTTCCATCCAACATTTTTTGTGTGGATTTAACCACACATTTTCTACTTAATTACCTCCTCTGTTTTGAAAAGTTTCCTCTTAATTGCACTCATAGAAGGTTTGTTTCTATAGTCATTGTAATATTTAAATGTGACAGTTGCCTGCTTATATTCTTCTAAATATGGTGTCTAGGAAGAAGGTGCTCTGATATTTTTTAAAGAAGATCATGCTGTTACTGGATTTTAGCTACACTCTAGACCTGTCTTGTCCAATATTATAAATACCAAGTAGCCACATGTGGCATCTGAATTCTTAAACTGGGCTAATCTGAGTTGAAATGGACAGATTTTGAAGACACAATAAGAAAAAAACACGTAAAATAGCTCAATAAATTTTAAATTATTACACACTGAAATAATAATTTAATATATTAAGTAAAATAAAATCTACTCTTAAAGTTCCTTTCACCTTTTAATTTATTTATTTTAATGTGAATGCTAGGAAATTTAAAATTAAATATGTAGCCCACATTATATTTCAAATAGGCAGGGATTCCTTAGACCACTTCTGAAATTTGAGATAATGTCAGTAAACAAAATTAGTTAGTATATTCACTCTCTAAGGTCATACGTTCATTCTTATTATTAATTATAATTTATTTGCTTAGATGCCTGTTCCATAGTTCATAAATGTCTATCATTTAAAAATAACATGATCAAATTCCCAAAGAAAATGTGAATTGCATAATCTTCGCTTTTCAGCGAAAACTAAACATATTGTGTGTGTATGTAATAGATATTAAGATAGATCTCTCTCTTGCTCCCACTTTCTCTCTCACACACCCATCACAATTTCTTAGTTGGACTAATAAATTATTATCTTCCACAACTATAACCTATATTTGCTAATGTAAAAATATATTTTTTATCAGGGAATAACCCTTCATACTCAAAATATAAATACAAAATATCTGAAGAATAAAGGTGCAAAATTTGTAAAACTCATGTTTTTTGTTATAAAAGTAGTGTAGTCCATTATTATACCAAGACCAATTGAAATTATGTACAATTATATCTATTTTATAAGCCTATTTGCAACCAACATTCATAATAAATTAATAGTAGAGAAAAATACAAAAATCAATAGGAAATTCTAGTAATTTAGAGAGTTTATCCTCCCTATCTTACAGAATAGATTCAAAGTATTTCAAAAAATTGAAAATTTTAAGGTTGAATTTTTATCAGTAAGGAAATATTAAAGCATTTATAGTAGAAAATATATACAGCATGTTAGAAATTGTACCACATTTTAGAAAGATTTTCACAAAAAATGTCAAGATAAAATCATTATTGTTTTTTTGAGGGCATGAGTCTAAGTAGAAAATGAGGGGGTAGTCTAAGTAGAAAATGAGGCGTGGGACTTAGGGGGAAATTGAGGAGGCAGGGCCAGGGGAAGAGCCAGGGAGCAGGACCAGGAGGGGAGGGTGGGAGTGGTGGGAGGGCAGGGGTTGTGAGTGAGAGGAAAACAAGAGAGAAGATGGAGGGATGAAAAGTGGATCAAGACAGGAGGGAAGAAGCAGGGGGGCAAGTGGAAAGGGAGGTAGTAAAAGGGAGGATTGAGGTTGGGGAAAAGAACATGGGGGTGACCAGGAGGCAGCAGGTTGGGGGAGAAATAGGGAAGTAAGACAGAGGTGGTGAGAAGCGAGGGCCAGGACCAAGGAAGAGCAAAACAGGAAGCAAGGAGGAAAATTGAGGGAACAGGTGGAGGAAGAGTGCAGGAAATAAGGGGAAGGATGGAGGGCTAAAATTATTTTATTACAAGCCATTAGTTTAATAAAATATTTTTCTTATTTATGTAATTATACATTGTAAGTAGCCTAGTTTTCTGGAAACTTTTCTAATCCATAAAATCTCATCTCAGGTTACATGAAATTAGATTGAAATTCATGAGGTAAATTATAGATTATGAACATAGAGATTAACTTTAGAAGTTAATTATAAAAATATTTTCATTACTCTGAAATCTTCATTACATAAAATTTATTAATATATTTATGAAAACAAAATTTGTAGAATAGCAAATATATAAATGGAAAATAAACTTTTAATCCAAAATATTTACTCTTAAAAAGATCAATTCCGAGATTTGGAATTATATAGACAGAACTTAAACTAGCAGTGATCAAAGTTTAGTTTGTGATGACTTATTGCATTTTAGATGATTAACTTTTAAGAAAAAAACTATTGTTTTTAGTATTTAGTCAATTGTAAGAAAATGAAACATGGATATATACTATTACTTTTCAGTACATTTGGTGGACTTTAAGTATATGACAAAATCTGTTAAATATAGGATATAGCACAATCCAGAAAGTGAAAACTACATCTCTTCTTTTCAGTGCATTCAGATTAAATTTCTGGCAATGGCAAATTCAAAAGTAATTTCCCTTTAAAATTTAAAAATAACTTCCCTGATGCCCCAAGGCTTAGAATTCATTTAAATTATAACAGATACTTAGTCACTTTGTATGTATAGCATATGTCTTGGATAAAAGTCACAAGCTGAAAACAAAAGAGAAATGTGTCAGTGCTCATAGGCATTACACCTTTGAAAATGTCCTTCCTTAAAATATTTCAAAATTAGCACATTTACCAGATTATGTTCTTACTTTCTTGTCTTAGAACTGTATTTTTCTGCATTTCAATTTTTCTTTGGAAAGTAGAGTATATCCTGGCAAGCTAGAACAGTTTGAAATTTTGAAATAATAATTAAGTACTCCTTCGTATCATTCTATTAACTAAAGTCACTCTCCTCACCTCATCGTGTTGTTTCTTTGCTTGTTTTAGTTTCTTCTATGTGTGCTAAGCATTATGGTAAAGAAGTAAATGATGAGGCTAAAGACTCTAGAGTCAGTGTTGTAGAAAATCTTCGATATCATCATGGTCAAGTTAGAGTGTTACTGAGTTGGAATACTAGCCAGTGGAGGATACTTTCTTCCTTGTGTTGCATTTTGTACAATCTAGCAGAGGTGAAAACACCAACTTAGGGAGCATCAATGGAGATCTCAAAGTTTTTTGTGATGAAAATCTTGATAGGTGCTTCAACTGAGGATTTTGGAAGACAGCAAGTTTTAAAAGCTATTTCTAATTTGACACAAAAAGTACAAAGTTACAATTGTCATTTTTCACATCTTATATAAGACATGCTCCATCATGACCAGCAATTACACAAAAATAGTAT
The DNA here is from genome assembly GCF_000001405.40 of Homo sapiens. Classification (NCBI taxonomy): domain Eukaryota; kingdom Metazoa; phylum Chordata; class Mammalia; order Primates; family Hominidae; genus Homo; species Homo sapiens. Next base: position 84,333,060 of record NC_000007.14, on the reverse strand, counting down.
CAATGGAGGTAACTAAATAACTAATGAATTGACTCCCTAAATCAAGTCCTGATATATTATTAAAGATACCAGTCTTAGCTGGAATCATGACTTTTTATAGAATGAGATTGCATTATTTCTCTTTCTTATCCTAAATGATAAAATGATTCATAACTCTGAAATGTTAAGTCATTACCTTGATAATATGTATGTAGGGAGTCAAGACATGTAAATAATAACATATTTCAGTATAGTAAACTTAATAAAGGTACTCAATGTTTTAATATAGTCAAGAACTGTAAATATTTACTCTGGGGTAAGAACTAAAAAATAAATTATTTTTTCTTCTATGCTTTTTAAATAAAGCACAGATTTATACATACGTGTGTGTGTGTGTGTGTGTGTGTATACACACACATATATTTCAATTTATCAGTGCCTTGGATTGACGTCACAGCCACATGTTAAAGCTATGTTCTTTTAACTACCACACTAAATTGCCACTGAAAGAAAACAAGGATTAGCTTCTTCAGATTAGGATGATTTTAAATTGTCTTTTCTCAATTTTATCCTGTAAGTGTAGACTTATAGTAAAGAATGAACAGATGTTAACTTGTCTTGCCATTTAGATTTCTGCAGACTACTGTCCAAGACTTCGTAGAATTAAGAACATCTCTTTTCATTGGTGGTGTATCCAGTGATGGGCACTGTGAAAAATAAAAAGAGGTAGATTACATATACATGAAAAATAATTCATAATAATTTACAATCACATTAATAACATTTTAATATTAAGCAAATATAATGTTATTTTTTTCTGGAAATGAGTCGTTGGGACTTAGAATTTTGGGTTTATTTGTAATATTCTGATAGGAACATCTGCTATGAGCCACTTGATATTAACATATCACATGATTCAATGACCTATGTAGTCTCCAGATCCTTTGTTGGAACTCTCTCTGAAGGGTATATATGGCTGAATAATGGTAAAAAATAAGTAACTTAACTAAAGAGGAAGACAACTGAATCCTGCTTATGAGAATTTTGTGAATAAGCTGAAAGAAATGACCAGGAGTCAGGACTTTTACTTTTTTAGATTGATGTGCTCATTCATGCAAATTATATTTTTCCACTGTGCCAGAACATTTCATTAATAAAAGGGAAATACCTCATTGCCAGTGGGGTTGAACAGGCTCTCATCCACATTTCTATTTTACTCCAGCAGATTGGACTTTCCTGCCTTCCATTTCCCCCTTTTCTGCCACAAAAGGAGCATGCACGCACGCATGCACGCACACAGACTTCATTCTCTCTTATTACTTGCCAGCTGTAATGCTGAAATGCCAAGGTCTAAAATGTGTTATTTTTTTTTTCCCAAACAGCAGCAGCAGCCACATCTGGATCTGTGAAACTTTAGTCTTGGCTGGTTTCCTTCTTTTTCTTTATGGCTTTCCAGGCACCTGTGGACGTCCTGTATATACACAATGACATCAAACCATAGTTGGAAATCTGATTCTCTTGGTATAATGAACAATGATTAGTTAGAAGCATATAAAACCACAAACTGCTAGTAATAAAGAACAATTTCAATGCATTGTAGATAAGGGGCAATGAAAACTTAACTTAAAAATTAAGTGAATTTGAAACAGTTAAAGTAACTAGAATCACCTGAATCTTTCATTTTCAAACTTTATTATAAAATTATGGGTTGGGATTAAAAGCAGAAACTCAACAGACTTTGTTTAAGGTAGAAGGCTCTTGTCATAAAATATTAAGCCTTGATTTCAAGCTAAAAAATCTTTGGAAGAAAGCCAAAAATTCTTCCAAATACCCCTGGCAAATTCCTTAGTCATCTTAGATACTTCTGTTTTTTTGATACCCTAAAGTTCTTGACGTATTTTTGTGATCCAGATTGGATGGCTTCAAAGTAGGATTTGGAGATTACTCAGAAAAGCAATCAATAGTTCAAAAAAGAAAACCATATCTGTCACAGGTATTGACTATTTGAAACTTCATTCAGTACATTTCTACATAGGTCATGACATTCAAATATAAAACCTAGGATACTGACTTTGATCTATAAAACCTAACAGTGTATGATTCTTTCCTTTCTTTCCATGGCATGGAATCATTGGTTTATGTCTTGAATGCCTTGGCTAGCCACCCTCAGATATGCTTATCAAACAGATAGATAAAGAACATAATCCATTTCTATACTTTTCATCCTCTTTGATTTAATAAAATCCAAACCATTCTTATCTCAGAATATGAGGGAAGGACCATTGCAGTCATTAGCTTATGCTTCATGGAGGAGTTGAATTATTTTTTAAAAAAAGTGCTTGTAGTATTCTAAAATACCTAGTCATGTAAGCATGCAAAAAAATAAATAAAAAACAACTACCATATCCCATGTACCACAGGGGGAAAAAAAGTGATAGAAAGTCAATTGTAGATGACTATTTTGGGTGGTAAAGGAAAAATAAACTAGGTAATACCCTTCCAGTGATAAGAGATGAAAATGTACATGTGCCTTCCTACTTTATGTCCTCACCATCTCTGCCACTGATATCTTCCGAATGTTTACTATGATATTCATCTAAACACATGAACTTCATTGGAAACATTTAAGTCAGTAGATCTTATTAAGTAAGTGCATATGATAATTTGTTACTTTTTAAAATTGTTTCAAAGTTTGATATTAGAATTCCTAATTGTTCAGGAGGTACATTTAAAAAGTCATTTTTCTCACCCATACTTTATTTTTGAGATAACTTCACTTTTGAAATGTACTATGAAAATACTTAATAATGAGATCTATTTTTTAAAGTTAACTTTTAAGTTCAGGGGTACATGTGCAGGTTTGTTATATAGGTTAAAATGAGCAACGAGACATATATCCAGGATATAATATATTTATTTCTGCTAAGTATAAGCCAGTGATGCCTTAAAATAAATTGCACATAACTGGCCTTGCTTTTATTTTACTTATGTTATTGGTTATGAGATTCTGTGTTTTCTAGATTATGCTTCATCTTTGCTTATTAGGTAAAAGTGTGGGGAATCTGATATGGATTATTATGATTGGCCCAAAATCACTATTATTGAATTAATCAAATAGTGAAACACATCAATTAAACCAGCAGTTACAAGCCCTAAGTTGGCCAGAAAAATAATACCATAAAATTTTGCAGTGTGGGACTGTAATTTATTTCAAGGCCAGAGAGACCCCATGTGAAAGCACAAAGAGAAGTGCAAGTATGTGATATAAAATAACACAGCTTTTGAAATTATACACTGTGTTCCCTCTTATTTTGCACTAAATGTTTATTTTAATTTTCAATTAGAAAATATAATGTAGCACTGTATTTTATAAGGGTATGGTAAACAAAACTACGGCCTCCATCTTATTTTAGAATCTCATTATTGTTCACCTGGATATTATAATAGTCACATGATCTAATTGTTCAGTCTTTCTTCTAGGTCTCTGGGAGAGTGTCCTTCCTAAAATTTTGATATGTGCATGTTTCTTCTTTGATTACAATCTTCCTCAAATCTTTTGCCATGACCACACATGTCCAGCCTTTTGGCTCCCGTGGGCCACATTGGGAGAAGTATTGTCTTGGACCACATATAAAATATATTAACACTAACAATAGCTGATGAGCTGAAAAACATAAAATAAAATAAATAAACCGGCATAATGTGGTGATATCCACCACCACATTTAAGCAAAAAGGTTCTCACATTCAAAGGGTTGGACACGGCTGCATGACATCTCAAAACTCATCTTTTACCTACTTGTTTCATTAAAATGTCTGGTTTGAAACAGAAAATTACGTGTAATGTCTTGAACACTCAATGTTTTACTGCCTTCATGCCTTTATACATAATGTTACCTCTGCCAAAATGTCATTGATTTCTCTTACCCCCTTCACAACATCCCCGTTTGCTTGATGCAATCGGGTTTTTTTTTCTTAAAAGTTCCAGGTTTTAATGTAGATGATGGGTTGATGGGTGCAGCAAACCACCATGGCACATGTATACCTATGTTTAACAAACCTGCACGTTCTGCACATGTCTCCCAGAACTTAAAGTATAACAATAATAAATAAATAAATGAATAAAAAGTTCCAGGTTGAAAATGACCTCTGTTAGGAAATTATATGTGAGAGGAAGTTGAAATTATTTCCCAGAGACTTTGTATAACCCTGTGTGTGATTCATTTAAATTATTGCATTTCTTTTCATCATGTATTTGTATGTCTTTCCCTTCTATGGGAATTTGAACTCCTTTTCTGCTGAGACTGCATTTCATTCACAACTGTGTTTCTGGTAGTATCTTGTAGAGGCCCCAAATCCTTAGAAAATATTTGTTGAATGAACAAAGGAAGGAAATGAGTCAAAATGAATAAAAGTCAATACAATAAAAGACATTTTCATTCTGTATAAATTTACCATAGGTTGTCGAAATAGATCAGTTATAATCGACTGATTCAATGTACATAAGAGTCTATCTCATCAAAAGAGAAGCTTTCAAATATTTTATGCATTACAAGCAACATTGCGTTTTTCAAAGATATTTTTCTCATATAAGAAGCTTCTTATTCTAAAAGTTACTGTCTATTTTGTCTCTCTTCCCCTCTATCTCCTGCTCTTTCATTTTCTTTCTCTTTGACTGTTTCTTTCTTTCAAGAACTGAACGTTTATGTTATGTCAGAACTTTCTGTAGGACATGGTGTTAAAGAGGTCATTCATGTTTACGTATGTTTATCAAATGGTATTGTGGCAATGCAAATGAGTATTATGAAATGTAAAGATGAGAACACTAAAATGGTTTTTCCCAAATAGGTCTGCCATAAATAATAACTGACTTCTCCAATTTCCAGTCCTCATTCATTTTGGGTTTTCTGAGTAATATTCCTAAAGATTACACTGGCTTTTAAAAAATAATTTACAAGCAAACTTATTTGTACAAAAGAAATTATATGCACTCCAACAAAATTGATTATTGAAAGGTAAATGGAAGCACTTATAAAGATTTAATTCATAAACTCGAAATCGTAATCTAACCTTTATCCCAATAAGTTAGAACTACTATAAATTATCTTTCTGTTTGATTAATTGTGTGGAGAATATATGCAAATATTACATTATATTGTTGCCATTAATCCTAGTTTACATTTTAACTCTGGCTAAAAAATCTAGCGAAAAGGAAAACAGCCTTATGATTATCCATTTATCAAAGAGACCATGTTCCATAGCTGCTTTTCTACATTGAAGCTTGCATCATTTGCATGCTTTTATGCTTGAAATCTCTGATGAAATGCCACATTACTTGCATTAGCTAGCAGTGGTGAAAGTTATAAAATTGGAGCTAGTTTAAAATAATGCTACTTTGAAAAATTAAACATTCTGTAAAAAAAGATGGTTAAAATATACAATTCATAATTTTATAGATTTTTTTAAAGATCTCATATACAATATCCTGAGAGATCTTATAAAAATCAAGAATAATTTTTCATGCTCTCATGCATTCTCTGTTAGAAATTACACATGCTCTTTGATAGTACCTTGCTATATGTGAAAAAATCCTGGTATAATTCTTGGCATATATCAATGGTTCATTATTTCCCACTACCTTTGCCTACCTGCTTTTCTTTCTCCCACTACCTCCCTTTCTCTCTTTCTCCTTTCCTTCCTAGCATTTTTTTCACCCTTTCCCCCATCATGACTACTTTATTTTACATGAAGTGCCCCCTGATTATTCCAATGAAAACTGACTACCTGCTTTCTGACTGTCATTGAACATACCTAATGGCCTAGAATTAAGTTATTTTATGTAAATTATTTCAAAAGATCTTTTGGAATTCTCTCATAGGCAAATGTTCACCTCTCTGAAAATATTGTGAATCTATTAAGAGTAGCAATAAACTCATCAACAGATTTTGCATATTTCAGATAACCTATTATTTTCTTCTATAAATTTAAGTTCCTTATAGATGCTGGATATTAGACTTTTGTTAGGTGCCTAGTTTGCAAGTATTTTGTAGGTTGTCTGTTTATTCTGTTAGTTTCTTTTGCTATGCAGAAGCTCTTAAGTTTAATTAGATCCCATTTTCAATTCTTGCTTTTGTTGTGATTGCTTTTGGTTTCTTTGCCATGAAATCTTTGCTCATGCCTATGTTCATGATGATATTGCCTAGGTTGTCTTCCAGGATTTTTATAGTCTTGCATTTTACATTTAAGTCTTTAATCAATCTCGAGTTAATTTTTGTATATGATGTAAGGAAGAGATCCAGCTTCAGTCTACTGCATATGGCTAGTCAGCTATCCCAGCACCATTATTGAATAGGGAGTCTTTTCCCTATTGTTTGTTTTTGTCAGACAAGCTATCATTTTAAAAACAGGTCTATGATATTGTGCCTGTAACAGCCTTCTAGACTATTTTCAACACAAGGATAAATTTTTATGCCACATAAATTTTCACAAAACTGAATAAAAATAATCATCAAATGAATATACATAAAATATTTATTAAATACATATCACTTATAAATTCAATTTTTTACAAGGAAATTTCACAAAATAAAATTAATCATTCTGTATCTTTTCTGTAACTCCACAGTGAAACTGTGATTTACCCATAGGTTTTAGTTATATATCCAAAAACCCAAATCAGTCAAAAGCAAATAATTCAAGAAAATATTTATTGTTTATGCTTCATAGAACACTTAACTTTGGTTTATATTTGTCTCTTTATACTATAGAATTAATCAATTTAGAATTTGATCAGAAATACTTATTTAGTGATTATCACTATGAATGCCCTTGCATAAGCAACCAACATGCATCTTTCCTCTAAACTATTGTAAAAGCTCTCTAAATTATCTCCATGCTTGCACAGGCAGCTCTATAATCCATACTCCACCATGTTGCCAGAGTGGTTCTTTTGAAGTACGCCAGATCACAGAGGGATATTATTTAGCCAGAAAGAAGAAGAGCATCTTGCCAATTTTTATAACATGGATGAACCTGAAAGACATTATGATAAGTGAAATAAGCCTGACAGAGAAAGACAAATACTGTATGATCTCAGTTACATGTGGAATCTGAAAAGGTAAACTTACAGAAGCTGAGAGCAGAACAGTGGATACTAGTGTTGGGGGTGGGGAAATGGGGAGATGTTGGCCAGAGGATACAAATGTTCTCTTACAAGATGAACAAGTTCTGGTGATTTAAATTACAGCACGAGTGGTGATGGATGTGTTAATTTGTGATAATCATTAAACAATGTATATGTATATTGAATAACATCATTGTATTCCTTGAATATATTCAATCTTTACTGGCTAATTAAATATTTTATTATCTAAAATAAAATAAAATGGGGCAAATCATATCACTCCTCTGCTCAAAACCTTACAAATACAAGGTTCCTCCTGGCCTGCCTATTCCTTGATGGTCTACAAGACTCTTGGTGGTTATACTCCCTCATATATCGCTGATCTCCTTTGCCACCTGTCACCTAGCTTGGACCACTGCAGCCACATGGCCTTCCTTGCTACTCCTAGAAGAATACTTCCCCCTGTATACTTTGAGTCTCTTCTGTCTCAGATTCAGATATCCTGTGGCAAATCTTCTGTCTTTATTCAGATCTTTGTTCAAATGTGACCTTTCCAGAGAAGTTCTCCCTGACCTTCCGATCTAAAACAGCACCACTCATCACTCTCTTTTTTGCCTCACTTCGGTAGTATTTTTTAAAATCATAATTTGATTGTTTGATTGATTAGTTGATTGTCTATTTCTTTTCACTTGAATGTTAGTTTTATAGGAGCAGGAACTTCATGTATCCATTGCCTTAACTTCAGAGTTCAGAACTCTGCTCCATACTTGACCCAACTAAATAATTGTTTTAAAATGATAGATAGATAGATAGATAGATAGATAGATAGATAGATAGATAGAGATATATACATTCTCCATTGTGACAGGTCTGTAGGTCTATTATTTAAAAAGACAAACATAAGTTATGGTATATATAGCATTTATTCTGTTAGATATACCACTTGTTTTCATGCTTCATATTTTATAAAGTATCTTTTTGTCTTTCTTTTTGAACGTA